>NC_000006.12:163404123-163555638 GCF_000001405.40 Homo sapiens | reverse complement strand
CAATCCCCGAGTAGACCTGGTACTTTCCTCTCCAAGTTAGGCTCCTATTGGAAGCATCCTATGTGTTCCTCAATAACACAGATCATCGTTTTCTCTCAGAGTGCAGGCTTTTTTTTTTTTTTTTTTTTTGAGCTGGAGTTTCGCTCTGTCGCTAGGCTTCAGTGCTGTGGCGTGATCTTGGCTCACTGCAACCTCCAACTCCCTGGTTCAAGCGATTCTCCTGAGTGCAGGCTTTTCTAAGAACTCTCACGCATACTGGTCTTGCTTTTATAAATTCATGCTGCTTATTTTTGGGGTGATCAATCATATATAGCCATGTGCTATCTCAGTTTTTCTATTTTTTGATTTTTAAAGAAATTTATCATGAATTGTATCCATAAACTAACCAATAACCAATAAACCCATGTTCCTTGTAACCCCCAAAGCCTTGCAAAAATGAATGTGCTCAACATATTTTAAAAAATGAATTAGTTTTCTATAAATTTGAAATAATGGGTAGAAAAGGTTTTCCAAACAAAAAAATACATGACTAATTTAATTGAAGAATAACAAATATCAGAGAAAAGAAAAAATGATGAGTGACCACATTTTATGAAGAATTTTGATGCCAATTACCACCTTGATCTGCTCCGACAGCTTTGGCAGACAGAAGATGACAGATAATTTGATTGACTTAAACAAAGGGGTTTATGAGAGGGAAGTGACAAAAAAGGATTTGTCTTTAAAGCCTCACTGTGCTATTTTGTGGATGGACTGCTGGGGGCGCCAGCGTGATTACTGAGATAGGTCATGAGCTTTAACATTGTCCAGGCAACAGAGAGGATGAACTGGACTGGGGTAGAGGTTGTAACAGAGATGAAAAGAGTTATGTTAACCTGACAAGGCATGATGATCAGTTGGACACAGAGGGTAAGGGAAAAGGAGAAATTGAACAATGTTGTTTAGGTTCTTGATTTAAGCAATAAAGTAGACGGTGGCTCCATGTAATGAGATAAAAATTGAGGAATATGGAATCAGAAGTTCTCTCTTGAAAGGTTACATCTGAAATACTTATCTTAAACACCTAAGTGGAGATGTCAGGTACACAGCTGAATATTCATCTGGTTGATCAACTTATTCCAACTTATCCTATACAGCTGGTAGAAAAATATGCTTTCATATTTCTTGAGTTTTTCTCCAAGATGATGTGGCAGTTACTAAGTTCCAAACTGAACTGCCATATGCTTTCCAATGCTTAAGTGTAGGGCTCTACAACTACTACTTCTTTGCCAGCCGGTTTTCTGTGAGGTTCTCAGAACTGAGGCATAGTGTGGGTGTAAAGCAGCCGACCCTGAAGAGCTGGATGAGGGAAAGAGATGTTCTCTTTCCCATGTGCGCTCCTTTCAGCTATGCACTTGCCAGAGGCAGCTGTCTCCTGGCTCCATGCTTCTTTCCCAGCACCTCTAGAACCAGTCTCATCGTGCAGCCCCTTCCCTCCATGCACACCAGAAGCAGCCAGCTAGGGTTCTCCCCTCTGAGCTCCTGAGGTTCTTGAAGTAGCTGAGAGACACCAAGCCAGGGTCTTGGTTTCATCATTACACAGGCTTTCTTCTCTTTTATTCCAGCCCTGGGGTAAAAGATGCTTTTTTTGCAGTCTCTAAATCTGTATTACAGCCTGTCTTTCTCCTTTTTCAGTTCTCAATACCTGTGTAACCAATCAACAACTTTCCACACATAAAGCAAGGTAGAGGGAAAGTGTCAGGCACTTTATTTAACCAGAAAAGCTTAAAACACTCAAACACACACAAATATGATGCTCCTCCTCCATTAAAACTATATAAAACTAACAAAGATTTGTACCTTAGGACAATATGTTCTGCCTCTCTTCAACAAGGTATAAACAGATCCACTGAAAAGTAACAATCTCAGAAAAACAAAAGCCAAGTCTCAATAATAAGTACTTACTTCTTCTAATGCTAAATACGATACAATCTGTGATTTTATTAATAGTAATAGTAATCTTAACAGGCATGATAAACTTCTGAAGGATTTATATGATTCACAACTCCGGCTACATACTAGCATTAGTAGAGCCACATCAATTTATAGATTAAAAAAAAAACACCTCCAAAGTTGATTGTTATTTTAGACGGATATTATTAGATGATATGGTTGGGCTGGAAGGTGGGACATATAAATACCAATTGGGAGTTTAATAGAGCCTTGTTCTACAAAAGAAGATAAAAAATAGGAACCTGAGCTGGGCATGGTGGCTCATGCCTGTAATCTCAGCACTTTGGGAGGCCAGGTGGGTGGATCACTTGAGGTCAGGAGTTTGAGGCTTGCCTGACCAACATGGTGAAACCCTATGTCTACTAAAAATACAAAATTAGCTGGCAATGGTGGTGCACGCCTGTAATCCTAGCTACTTGGGAGGCTGAGGCAGGAGAATCGCTTGAACCCAGGAGGTGCAGGTTGCAGTGAGCCGAGATCGTGCCATTGCACTCCAGCCTAGGCAACAAGAGTGAAACTCCATCTCAAAAAATAAATAAATAAATAAATAAATAAATAAATAAATAAATAAATAAATAAATAAAAATTAAAAAAAAAAAAGAACCTGAAAATTATGACTATCTAAAAATCTCTTAGTTTTGAGAGGTGGGACAGAGAGGCAAAAACTAAGAAAAGTATACCCACTGTGGCGGGAGTGGTGGTGAGGAGGCTTAGAGGTGGGCAGAACCTAAAAGATGTTGTAATGATTGCCTGACAAAAAGTTCTGAAAGTGAAAATATATTAAACTCATTCATATTCAGAATGAGCACTGAGATAGAAAGGTAAAGCAAGATAAATGATGTGCAACTGGGATTATGATGGGAGTTTGCACAGGCTGCGGTGGAAGACCAAATGAAAAGGCCTAGGGAAATAATCACAACAGCTTTAAGAATCTTACGGTAACTATAGATTCCTTCTCTAGAAAACATATATGAGTACGCCGCTGAACCTTCCAACAATATGGATGGGCTTGAACCATGCAGGTCCACTTTTATACAGACATTTTTCTGCCCCTGCCAGCCCTGAAACAGCAAGACCAACCCCTCCTCCTCCTCCGCTTACTCAGTATGAAGATGATTAGGATAAAGAACTTTATGAGGCTGGGCACGGTGGCTCACGCCTGTAATCCCAGCACTTCGGGAGGCCGAGGTAGGTAGATCATGAGGTCAGGAGATCGAGACCATCCTGGCTAACACGGTGAAACCCTGTCTCTAGTCAAAAAATACAAAAAATTAGCCAGGCGTGGTGGCGGGCACCTGTAGTCCCAGCTACTTGGGAGGCTGAGGCAGGAGAATGGCATGAACCCGGGAGGTGGAGCTTGCAGTGAGCTGAAATCTTGTCACTGCACTCCGGCCTAGGCAACAGAGCTAGTCTCTGTCAAAAAAAAAAAAAAAAAAAAAAGAACGAACGAACTTTATGATGATCCACTTCTGCTTCAATAGCAAATATATTTTATCTTCCTTCTGATTTTCTTAATAACATTTTCTTTTCTGTAGCTTATTTTATTGTAAGAATACAGTATATAATATACATAACATACAAAATATGTGTTGATCAACTGTTACCAGTAATGCTTCCTGTCAACAGCAGGTTATTAGGAGCTGCATTTTTGGGGAGTCAAAATTATACGTGGATTTTCAACTGCACGTGGGGGTGGTTCCCCTAATCCCTACTATGGTCAAAAGTCAACTGTGTAAGCAAAAAATGTTGCATACAATTTTAGGGAGTTAACTGTGAGTATTAAACTTACCCATGAAGATATGTGATTAAATTGTTAATTCACTCCAACTGCTCTTACAAGACTTCCAAGGTAATGCTGTGTAATGTATTCATCACAGTAATGAAGTACTTTTCAAAGTGACTCTGACTCCTCAAAGTAAATGCTTTTCACCAGGAGATATTCATGAGATTTCTAAGCTATCAAGCACAACCTTGACAACCTCAAAGAAGAGTAGCGGTAGAAAACTACCTGGCATTTAAAACAATTTTATGTCATGACTGCTACTTTCACTTATACCCAAACTATTTTCAGATGTAGTCATGGTGGTAACACCAGAGGAGGTAATTAATTTTGGTTGCTGCCCATCTTCTTTTTCTTTGTTGTTTCATCAGATGTCTAATGATATCTTCAACACAAATTACTGACTAAAATCTTGAACCTCAGAGTTAGGCTAAGCTAGAATAAAGTAAGGTAAGGAAGAAGTATGGGCTACCACCTACTACTTGTGACTGGTGCCTGAAGTGGGAGACATCTTGTGGAACTGGAGCCCTCAACCTGTGGGACCTAAGGCTATCTCCAGGTGGACAGCGTCAGAACAGGATTAAATCGGAGGACACCCAGCTGGTGTCTGCTGAGGAATCTGGTGTCAGAACTGACTGGCTGCTGGTGGTGAGGAGGAATCCCTACAAATTTTGATGACCATAGATCACAGAAGCACTCGGTGTTGTGAGAGTATAGTAGGAGAAACTGATTTTGTGTTTTCCTATATCCTTATGCACACAGATATGCAAGCACTGGTATTTTTCTAACATACTAGTTTTCATAAGAAATGGAATCAGGAATCAATGAATTAGATAACATTCACATTGGCTGGCCATTATTGGTTAAAATTTGATCGATGCCCCTGTCCTCCAACAGAAGCAGCTTTTTTTTTTTTTTGTGAGACAGAGTCTTGCTCTGTCGCCCAGGCAGAAGTGCAGTGACACGATCTTGGCTCACTGCAAGCTCCGCCTCCTGGGTTCACGCCATTCTCCTGCCTCAGCCTCTCTGAGTAGCTGGGACTACAGGCGCCCACCACCATGCCCGGCTAATTTTTTGTATTTTTAGTAGAGATGGGGTTTCACTGTGTTAGCCAGGATGGTCTCGATCTCCTGACCAGGTGATCCACCTGCCTCAGCCTCCCAAACTGTTGGGATTACAGGCGTCAGCCACCACGCCCAGCCATAAGCAGCTCTTTGTTGGGGTGGCTGGTGCTTTAAATATTTCGTACGTATATTTAAGAAAGTTTGTTAGTGGTGAAAAAAAGGCAACTGCTGTGGTACCAGAGTTAGAAGTAATTCAACTCTGGATTTGCCCTGTTAGAACTCAGTTTTATAATAATAGCCACATAGCTTCCCCCCAAATCTCTGATTACTGAAATTCCTGTAAGAAAAAGTAGCTTTGTTACTATGTGCTATGGTTTAAATGTCCCCTCCAAAACTCATGTTGAAACTTAATCCTCAACGTGGATCATGAGAGCTCTGCCATCAGTCCCTCAATGGATTAGTGGATTAATGGATTATTACAGGAAGAGAACTGGTGGCTTCATAAGATGAGGAAGACAGACCTGGGCGAACACACTAGCTCACTTACCCCCTTACCATGTAGTGCCTGCGCTGCCCCAGGACACTGCAGAGTCCCCACCAGCAAGAAGGCTCTCACAGATGCCACCCTTTGACCTTAGACTTCCCAGCCTCCATAACAAAGAAATAAATTCCTTTTCTTTATTAATTACCCAGTTTCAGGTATTGTTATAAGGAACAGAAATCAAACTAAGACACTGTGAGTTTGAAACTCTCCTAATTTCCCATGGAAGAACTTTTAATGGATTTGACTGCACGGTCAAAGCTTCATTTACTGAAGAACAGATTGCATAGTTTAACTCTGAAAAGTATACAATTAGGTTCCTGGTATATACAATGTTAAGAAATATTTGTTCAACAAATACAAACAGATGCTTAAAACACCTGTTAAAAAAGTAGTGTGTTAGATTGTAAAAGAAGGTAATTTTTTCTTTAAGAGGTAGAGAATAACAAAGTGAAACATTACTACAATTGCATACTAATATATGTTCATTTAAAAACCACAGACAAGTAAAGAACACCATGTAGTATGTTTTTGTTTTGTTTGTTTTTTTGAAACAAGTTCTCACTGTGTCACCCAGGCTGGAGTGCAGTGGCACGATCTCGGCTCACTGCAACCTCCACCTCCTGGGTTCAAATGATTCTTGTGCCTCAGCTTTCGGAGTAGCTGAGATTACATGTGTGCGTCACCATGCCCAACTAATTTTTTGTATTTTTCGTAAAGATGGGGATTCACTATGTTGCCCAGGCTGGTATCAAACTCCTGGCCTCAAGAGATCCGCCCGCCTCAGCCTCCCAAAGTGCTAGGATTACAGGCATGAGCCACCATGCCCAGCGCAGTGTTTTCAGGAAGTAAGTTTTCTAGCTGTTGGTCTTTTACTGAGTCTTAAGTTATTCACAGCACTGGAGTGCAGGAGAACACTTTCTCTGGGATGTTCACAAGCCTTTTCCTACCCTTTCCTGTCCATACTTCCTGCATATCCCCTCCAGGACTGCTAAGGAAAATGAGACATTGGCTCTGCTCAAATTTCATCATCACCAACCTCATGTCCCCCCCCTCAACCTCTCTGGCCTCTCCTCCCACATTTCTCTGGTCAAATCTTCTTCGCTCGGCACTCATTCTCTTTCCTGCCGCCCTGTGAAGAGATGCCTTCCGCCATGATTGTAAGTTGCCTAAGGCCTCCCCAGCCATGTGGAACTATGAGTCAATTAAACCTCTTTTCTTTATAAATTACCCAGTCAGCAACCATATTCTATAATTACAGTGAATACAGCACTATCCATCCAGTTATACAAGTCAGAATTCTGGAGTTACAAACGATACCTTCTAGTCAATCACCATTCACCACATCCAGTCTATATTACCACTTAAATAACTGCTTATTTTGCCCAGTTCTAACTCAACTGTCACCTTCCGGGTCTCCTTTCACACATCCACTCTGGCCCATTAAGATGTTCTCTCACCTCGTAGCCAGAGTGATATTGACAAAATGAAAATAAACCTGGCTCACTTCTTAAAACTCTTCAGTAGTGCCCAGTCCTCTTCAGATAAGATCAATATCCTCAAACATGCTAGGTCTACTCACTGGGTACCTCACCTCAATCTCTCTCACTCTGCACTCTGGTCACACATACCTTCTTTCAGTTCCTTACCAAACTGACCATGTTCTATTACAATCTTTTAAAAAACAGTTTTACTGCCATAATTTATATACCACAATATTTACCTGTTTAAAGTGTAAAATTTAATAGTTTTGGGTAGGCTTACGTATGTGTATGACCATCACACATATATAGATATTAATTGATTTAGAACAGAGCAACCTAATGAGGTGATTTAAAAAATGAGGCAAAAAGGGGTAAGTGACTTGTGGAAGATTTTACATGAATGTGTTTTTAGGTTCCATTTTTACTATGAAAAGCAAACAACAAGTGCTTTGTTAAAGGACTAATATTCAATCATTAATTCAACAAACACTGATCACTTTCTATGTATGTGCAAGGCAGTGAGGGAGAGATACTAAGATGAAACAGACTTCATGCATGTCACTGAAATGCCCAGTCAGGGGCAAGGGGATAAACAAACAAACAAACATTCAGTTCTAATAATTCTACACCACTATCATAGACAATGCATTCTACTATAATATTAGTACAGAATACAAATCACGGAGTTCTTTCTGGAGATCGCCAAAATACACTACGTAAACAAACAGTGTTCTGAAAACTGTGAGTTATTTAATATGTGTGGGTGTAAGTGTAAAGGAGGAATGACATGAAACAAAGTTGGAAAAGTAGGCACATGTTAGATGAAGATAAGCTATGAATGCCATACATTTTTACCATGGGGTGATAGAAAGTCACTGAAAACCTACAACAAGGAGTGTGATGACATTTCTATATATTAAAAAGATAGTTTTGGCCTCAAGTAGAAAATGGATAGGAGGGAGCACCATGGGTAACAGACCTACTCCATCTGTGGAGATGGAGAAAAGATATGTGCTATTTGGAGGTAGAATCAGACAGAACTTGGTGATGATATAGATGGGAAGGAGCCAGGGCAGGAGAGAAAAAGGTGGAAGGAAGGTGGATGAGTCCTAGGCAACAAGTATCATTCTACAGAGAAAACAAGGGAAGAATTGTGATACGGGGAGGGCAAGGAAGAATGTGATTTTAGTTTTCAAAATGTTATGTATGAGATGCCTATGTGGCACCCGCATGGAGGTGTTGAATGGCTGGTTGATTTGGAATTCCAGATTAGAAGCACGCTGAAAAACAATCAGCACTGCAGTGGTAACTGGAGGCATGGTTACAGAACAGACTGTCCAGGAAGAACAAATTGGAAATGAAATACTTTAATTCTAGTGAGAGCATGACAGTTCTGAAGAGCAGACATCAAGTGATCAAAAAAGCAATTAAGAACACAGTAATTTTGTTCTATTCTCATTTACATTATGAAATCTAAGTCTCTGTATATAATGAAGTCTTGTTTTCTAGCCTTGTAAACTGCAGTTTTTCAATAGAAGTTTGTGAGATGAATTTCTTTTGTCAGTCGTTCAACGCTTGAAAGAAATATTCCCAAGTATAATTCCACAAATGCTAAATTAAAAAATCAAAGTATTTTTATTTAAATTGACAGGAGAATTCATAAATTACTGTCACAAAGTAAGCTAATTCCTAAATTAGCTAACTTTCTCAGAAATATTATATTCTACAAAGAAGGTTACTAAAAATAAGCTGAGGCCATGTCAGTTTGAAGGCATAACTAAAGATACTTTGATAAATACTCTTATATTTTATTTATACATTAAAGATTAAGTTTTTCTCCACAAAGGTTTTAAACGTTAAGAGAATTAAAAAACAAAACACATCTACTTATTTATATAATTTGGCAATATGGTTTCAGAGTTAATTCCCATAAAGGAGCCTTGTGATGAATAAGCAGGATAATTTAATAGTCACTTTCAAATTTTCCAAAATAGTTATTAAAAATACAACCAAAAATAAAGCTATAATGAGCTACCAAAAGCTTACCTGAAATAATCTTAATACTAAAATGCTTATTTGAATCTTTTAATATACTATTAAAATGTCACAATGGTTACTATCTTAATTTTACTTATAAATATCAAAACACTAAAACATTTGAAATGTAGTAAAGAAAAATTAAATATGAGTTAAAATACAAGCAAAGTAAATATAGTAAGGGACATGTGATTTCTGAATCATTTAATATACTATTAAAATGTCACAATGGTTACTCCTAATAATTTTACTTAAAAATATCAAAACACTGAAACATCTGAAATGTGGTAAAGAAAAATTAAATATGAGTTAAAACACAGGCACATTAAATATAGTAAGGGACATGTGATTTTCTTAATGTTTTTACTAATTCAAGTTCAATGCACCCTACTATAAAGTGAATGATTACAAATACTTTGCCTATATATAAGGAACATGATGCTACTTACCCACCATCAGAAGGGCATGCAAACAAATTAAAGTGATGTATGAAAATAATTGAACTAAAGAAAATACACTGAGAAATCACTCGCCTATTTTTCTAATAAATATTTAAAAATATGTATTGAAATTAATTTTACAGTATCTGTGTAGAATATCATACATTTAATAAAGAAATTTTTAAAAAACCCCAAACACTAAAATGCATTATCCCAACCAATGAGAAGTTTATGGGACATAAATATTAATATTTTATATAATTATATAAAATATATAATTATATATTTATACCAATTATAAAATAGTTTACATTAATATTTAAATTAATAGGTACAAGCAATTATAAAGTGTTACAAACTAAATATGCAAATTCTGAGGGGTGCAAGGAATACAAAGTTAAAGTAAAAGGACTTCCTTTACAAATGCAAAAATATTTCCTAGGGTATAAATATTTAATTTAATAAATATATCCTAGGCCCTATTATTCTATGCCCAGGGTCCCTTTTTTTTACATTTGCAACGCCTAAAATTTAGAATTACAAGATGTCTAAACCTTTTGTCAACCTGAACAAAACCTTGTGTTGAAAGAAGCGGTTCCTCAACGAATCCTTACAAGAATCAAGAGGAGGATGTTATTCATACAGAGTCTCTGTTTGGGAAAGCTTGTTCAGTTCCCAGAAACAAGACATATTTTTTTATCACCAAGGAGCCTGATCAAACTAAACATCCAAGTTTAAGGAAAAGCCCTCTGTTGTGTTTAAGAAGCCACAGTCACTGCCAGGCAACATTACGGCTGGACAGACGGTAAGCAAAGATTTATATAGCTGCTCAATGATTTAGATAATTATGGTATGATGTTGAGGGAAGTCTTAAAACCTATACCTTGGCAAACTTCTTAATCTGTCTGTATGGAATGTCACCCGAATCAAATGGTACTTTTAATTATTTGTGAAAATTCTAGTTAGGACAATGTGCCTGTTGTCCTAATGCAGAATAAGCCACACACCTAAAATGTGGAGATAGAATATAAAAATTATGACCCTGATATAGAACTGGATTTTACTTAGAATTGTCCCTCTTCACAGGAAAGAAAATCAGCACATTTAAATTTCTGCAGTGCTTTTCTCCGCCATCATTTTTCCCAAAGCAGCACATACCCATGAGAGTACCTTACACACAGCACACAAAGGTGATGGCTGTGATTCCAAGGAGCTCTGCAGAAATTACAGAGATCTCTGGTAAGGACTACATGGGTCTTTGTATTCTACACTTAAATGAGATTTTAGGACATTATCTGTCCATGACTCAAGTTTTATTAATGGTTCAACAGTTATCTTAGAGCTATAGGATTTTAATCAGATTATACTGATGTGTGATTACATACTGACCAGTAAAGATTAATATATAAACAAAAAATGTATTGTACCTTAAAAAATTTTACTCTTTCTCACCTGAATTGAACAACTGTTCTCTCCTCAAAATACCCACATTTCCCTGGTGAAACATTTTTGAAAGACGCATCCACATTTTCAGGCCACTAGGGTTAGTAACAACCAAATTATTATTTGCTTAATGAAACTGTACCCTAATGGCTTGACAATGTTAAGACCTCCAAAAAGACCATGTTTATTTTGTTAAAAGTATTTTACAGTCTCAAAATTTTTGGCTTAAATTGTACTTCGGGTGTTTTTCTGAAGGGCAGATACAAACCACCAATGTAAGAACTACTATTACTGATATCTTGAGGATGAGTGAGGGCACGCAAAGTGTAAGTGATGTTCATCACCTTAGACATTTGCAGGAACATTTTCTCACTAAAAAGTCATTACACCAAAATTTAATTCTTTTGAGAGACAGGGGAGAGCTGAAGCTCTCTCTGAAAGTACAGTTGTCCCTCATTATCTGCGGGGAACTGGTTCCAGAACACCAAAATCTACAGATACCAAAACCCATGAATGCTCAAGTCCATGATATAAAATGGCATAGTATTTGCATATAACCTACGCACATGCTCCAGTCTACTTTAAATCATCTCTAGATTATTTATAATACCTAATGCAACGCCCACATATCACTTCATTCATGTGGATTCAATGTAGTGCTTGAAGGATGCAAATTTAAATTTTGCTCTCTTTGAAACTCTGTGGAATTTCCTCATTGGTTGAATCCATGGGTGCGGAACCCATGTATATGCAGGTTGTAGTTACGTGCAACCTGAATAATCCAGTTTATAAACCTAAGTATCTTATTTATTTTCCAAAAGGGCTTTAAATGTTCTTACTTTGTGAGAAAAACTATGACAAAGATAAAAATATGTATTTATTACATGCACTGAGTAAAATTAAAGTCAGTATCTGGTTAACGTTTGTTAAAGCAAAACAAAGAATCAGTATAATAGCATTATCTGAAAATATATTTAAATTAAGATAGGAAATTTATATCTAGAGTTGTCACTTTTTTCCTCTAGAGACTTGGAACAAAATGTCTTTCCTCAAATGTGCTTCATTGTACCATACTTAGTGAAAAAACAAGCCTGAATAAGCTGATGGCCTGCATGGGAACATGGATCAACTCATTCTCATTAAGAATTTAAGAAGCTATCAGCCTTCTATACAGTTTTGCCTATATGAGAGAAAGCAAGGACTGCCTTCTTTCAAACCTACAATTTATGAGTTTATTCAAACCCGCCAAAAAGCTTTAAGTAAACGCCTCTCACATTTGAAAATTCCCATGGCAACTCATTTAGGTTGGCAGACAGGCAGTCCCAAATTCAATCCTTTTATCCTGCAGCTAAACCATTACAATGGTAATTCTGCTCTGACACTCTGAAGAGACTGCTAATTACCACACTCTGGGTCCCCAGACAGATTTCCCATTCAGATTAAAATGGCTCTGCAAGGTAGAAATCAGTAACAACACCTTTCTTTACATGAGAGATGTTCTTTCCCATTACAGCTCTATCAAGGAGCCAGTACATTACCTCTAGATGTCTTTTAATATATGTTTTAATACCTCTCCTTCTCTCCCAATAAAATGAAAAGGAGGCCAACAATACCACAAATTTCAATGATCAATATTTGATCAAGGACTAAATAAATGCAGTACCATCAACTCATTAACAATTTGGTTAAAGAACTAAATCAAAGATAAAATTACCACATCTCTATGGTCATGATGTCTGTTACCTTCTCATTCATTAACTCTTAACATTTTCAGGTTATAATTAATACTCAGTTAATTATGAGTCAAATGCATATGGCAGACAGAAAAGAACCTTTGGGGAACACAAAATGCAAACTTTTAAAAAGTGCATTTTGTAACAGATGCCTATTATCCTAAATTTCTATAACATGTAGTTTTTTGAAAATGAATTAAAATTACTTTTGTCTTGATGAATATTTTCAAATGTCATAATAATCCTGATGACAACTTTAAATTTCAAAACCCGCAGGTGGAAATTTGTCGTCATGTATTAGATCATTTACTTTTATAGTACTGACCTCCATGTATATAAAGAGATCAGCTATATGTTAAAAACTGATCTGTATTCAAGTTCTCAAATACCTATAAAGTAAACATACAGAGAAAACAAACACACAATTTTACTCACCATAAAGAAAAAGACCTGTTATTTCAACACTTTATGAAATGTCTAGGTCTGCAGGCATATTGTGTGCCAAAGTCTGTTTTAACTTATGAGACAACATCAATGAACTTCAGTTGCCTGAAATCACTTAATTTCTGTATTACAGTCTAGCCCTTTCAAGCTTAGTACTCTATCTCCCCAATGGAAACCTTTTACCTCCCCACTTCCTATTAAAACTGTGGGAAAATTATAGTGAAAACAAGATACAGGATCCCTCATCTCTACTTTCTCAATCTTAATATCAGCATAATCCAGCATAATATTCCTCCAATTTCACCATTCTTGTGTGTTTTAGGTCTCTTCTGAGAAGATCACAAAAGATCATAGAATATGTATCCATATAAAGTCTTGACTAAGAAATATCATGTATTACTTTCCAACTAGATGAATGAGGATTAACGGAAGGAGGAAGGATGGTATCTGATACCTGAGAAGCATTCCCATAATGTGTGCTCCTGTGTGGAGAGACAGTTTTATATATATTATTTTTTAGTAATGTTATATAATTTCATTTTTTGGGGGGGCTACTATTCCTTGTAAATAAAAACCTATATTGACAAAATCATGACTAGCAAACAGGGTACATTTTGTAGGGAAGGAACAGAAGTACTCTCTCCTGGTATGGTGCCTTTTGGGATCACAAATTGAACTTGCAAATGACATGCAGTTGCAAGTAACCAGCCCATACATAGTTAAACACATAAAATGCAAAAAGAGGAAGGAGGAACATGTATGCGCCTTTCATGTCCACATAATTAAAATAATTACTACCTTTACAAAGTCTCTCTAAGGCAAGTAGGCCATACTGCTTGGTACTATCTTTATAGAAAAGATGCTGCATGAAATAACTGGTATTTGGGGAGAAAAAAATAAAGACCTCAAAATTAAAAGAAGGAAAAAGTTACTATCATATGAAATGAAATAGAGTAAAACTTTTTAATGATGCCAAACCATGTTCATACAGGTTGTATAAGCTATAATAGACGGATTACATACATAGATATGCATGCATGTACATGTGTACACCAAATTCTTTTGCCCTTTCAGTGCCATCAAGAACACACTGGTGTGTATATCTTTACAATGAATGAATGGAGATTTTTACACACCTCTTTCAGTAACAGACAAAACTAGAGAAAAGGAAAAAAAAAAAAAGGGTAGACATAGGAGAAGATCTGAGTGCTTTCAACTATCTTCATCTATAAACAATACAGAATATACACGCAACTACTGCAGAATTCACATTCTTTTAAGTGTATGTGAAACATTCATCAAAACAGACCATATGCTGGGCTAGCAAAAAGTTATTAGATTAAAAAAGACTACCATCTTATCAAATACATACTGAGCATAACAAATTAGAAATCTACAGTATGATAAACAGAAAAGTCTCAAATATTTGGAAACATTTGGAAATAAAACACGGCTCAAAGAAGAAATTACAAAGAAAATTGGAAAAAACTTTTGCACTGAATGATAATAAAAACGCAGCATAATATTATTTGTTGGATACAGCTAAAACATTACTCAGAGAGGAATGTATGTCCTTAAAAGAAAAGTCTCAGAAGTACAAAAGACAGGTCTCAAATCACTGATCTACCTTTAAAATGTCCCCAAGTAAAACTAAACCTTAGTAGAATAAAGATGTAAAAGCAGATATCAATAAAACAGAAAAAAAATTGAGAAAAATCAACAAAACCAAAAGCTGATACTTAGAAAACGGTTGATAAAATTGATAAAACTCTAGAACTAGATTGGATCAGGAAGAAAAAAAAAGTAGATATTTGAAGTCAACCAATTTAGACTAGATAAAAACCTACATATAACTTGAGAAACAACTCCTGCCTAGTTATTTCATGTTTTGTCACCAGGAAACAAAAAGGAATAAAGTAAACTGATCATCAAAATCAAAGAAACATCTGAAACTAAACTGGTGTCATTTTCAGAGTAAACATGTTCTCCAGGTAAAATATTATTTGATTCTACTAATAAATGGTGTGTGATTATCTCAAAACCCTTATTACTTTTGCAGTATAATTACAATACTGAACTGTTCTCTGAAAAGAAACAAGTATAATTGCCCTTATAATGCTCAAGCTTCTCTGAGTTTGCACGCTTGTTGGTAAAAAACAAAGAAGTCTACCAGATTGTTTTGAAACCCAAATACGAATTGAAAAGATTTGAACTGATTTACTAAACATTTAGTTACATGTAAAGTTATGCAAACTGATGAAATATTACAATCTTCAAAATTATTTTAAAAATTAGAACTGCATCACAAAGAGAAGGAAGTACAATCTTTAATCAGATTTATTAGTCTTTTCTGCAGATGGAAAAACACAAAATACTTATTACATTTCCTTATGAAAGTTTATATTAAGCAAAAAGTCTGCCCCTCCCTACTCCCCACCCTGCTAGGACCCTCAAGCCTGGACTAGATGTTTTTTGCTATACAACACCTAACAAAATGGGCACAAAATGATTAAAATACACAAAACTCTTTGTCTTTCTAAAAAAGAACTTACTCTATCTTTCCAAAAAAAAAGAACTTATTCATTCTTTATATGATAATGTAAATGGAATATTTCCCATTTAAAAAAAAAACAGTTCAAGATGTGAACATTAAAGTTCTTACATTACAAAAGTATCTCATGTTACGTAAGTATCACAAAGCTCCTTAATATAAAAACTGACCTAAATAACAAATAGTTATAAGAACCAAGAGATTTTACTCACATTTTTGAAATTAAAGGGCTTTTAAAAAAAAGCCTATTAGAAAAAGCAAAGATCAAAGTTTGATAATATCCAGGGTTTGAGTGTGTGTTGAGAAATAGGCATTTTCCTGCAATACTGGCAGGACAGTAAATTGGTACAAATTTTCTGGAAGGCAACTTAGAAATTTTAACATGAATAAAATAATAAAATTTAAAATGCACTTACCCTTTAACCTAGTAATTCTACTTCAAGAGACTTACCCTTCAAGTATATATGCACAAGTTAATTAACTCTGCCAAATTCATGCAGCATCTCTTCCACTGAAGAGAAGGGAAATGTTCACTACTGGACATTCTGCCGCTGCCTATTTAGGAAGGCACCTTTAGGGGTAATGGAAAGGTCTAAGGAACTACCATGAGGCTGGATGACTGAGGTGGAGTGGAAGACACGATCACTGCAGGTGAAGCAATATAAAAGAACCGAGAGGCCAAAGTACAGGAAGGATTATTTATAAACATAATAAAATCTTGAAGAGGGAAAAAATCCCGGTTCTTTTTCCTCTTGTGCCATTCTTTCTTGAACCCATGCCAGTGACACTTTTAACCCCACTGTTCCAAAAAAAACAAATTGACTGGCAAGGTCACCAATGACCACTACTTGCCAAATCCAATGGCTGATGATTTCCTCTTCCTACCTAAAAGGTCTAAGCATGACTTCCAGGACTGGCTCACAGCTCTCCTCCAAATCCAGGGGCTCCCCGCTTTGCTCTCCCTTGCTGGATCCTCCCTCTCTTCCTGTTACATGGTGAAGCACCCCAGGTTTAGTCCTCAATTTTTCTTCTATACTTATATCCAATTTCTTGATGATACATCCAGTCTCATGGCTCAAAAAGCTTTTGATCTAATGACAATTCTTAATTCTACATAATTCTAGGTTCCACTTTCTCACCTAATTCCTGTTATAACCAAATGCCCATTCAACATTTGCTATCAACTTTTATACTTTCAAATCCAATTTTTTGACTTTCCTCCCAAACCTGCTCTTGTAAAAGTGTAAATAAATGACAACTCCAATTGCTTGAAGTTATCACATATCATATCACACCAAGTCTGTCAAAATTCCTAGCAGTTTTACCTTCAAAAAAATCCATGATCTTACTACTTCTCAGCACCTTCAACACTACTCCAAATCACTTTAATCTCTAACTTGAACTGCAAAGACTTCCTTATTGGAATCTCTGCTTTCCCCACTGCCCTCAAAGTCTATTCTCAGGCCAGCAGCTGGAATGATCCTTTGAAATACAAATTACACTTTGTCCCTCCTTTCCTCAAATTCCTCCAATAAATAGCTTCTCATCTCGGACTAAAACCCAATCTCCTTCCCATGCCTACAGGCCTTGGATCTGCCAGTGCCTCCCATCCCCACCGACCTCACCTCCTACTGCTCTTCAGCCGGCTCATTAAGCTCCTCACTGGACCCCTGGATACTCTCTGAACATGCCTCAGGGCCACCGCACTTTTCGCTAAGGTTTTTTCTTAGATGTCACCTTCTCTTACCAGCCCATATAAAATAGCAGTTCCCTAATCCCAGTTCTCTATTCCCTTATTCTGCTTTATTTTTCTTCGCAGCACTTTGTTAAAAGAGAATATTGCCTATATTTGTTTTCCTCATTGTCAGTAATCCAACCCCAATCAGAAGGTAAACTTCAGGATGGCAGGCACTTTGCTGGTCAGCTTTTATTTATTATTGGTGTATCCTCCACAGCTGTCACAGTGTCTAACCTACAGCAGGCATTCAATTAACATTTGTTGAATGAACTACAAGGCCCAGAGGTGAGAAGACTGAAGCTTTAAGAAATTCAAATAAATACAGAACAACTCAATCTGTGGCAGGATGAGGAAGATGTGTACATATGACTGTGTGCTTTAGGTATAGCAAAAAGTAAAAAAATGAAACCTGAAAGGTAAGCTATGGCAAATCATGAAGAAATTTGTAGGCCATGCTAAGGAGTTTTGTATTCTTTTCTCAGAGTAAGAAGGCACCACTAAAAAATCTTTAAGCAGGGAAAGGTAACAATAGACTGCAAAGTAAAGATGGGTTTGAGAGGCCCCAGAAGAAGGAATACCAGTTGTGGGGTTCTGATACAAGCATGGTTTGAAGTAGGTAAAGGCAATGGGGATGAAGGAAGGTAAGCAAATCTGAGAGAGACAGGAAGTAACCTGACTGAACTTGGTGTTTTTCAGGACCATGGTAACAAGTTAAAAAGTCTAAACTACCCAACAGAATACTGAACGAACAAGAAAAGCGTAACTGAGAATTCCAAACCAAAAGACTGGCAATTTCTGTTAATCTACAGGGTAACTGGGCATCTGCTATTCAAACTGTCAACAATACAAAATTATGAACCTCACTATTAAAGGTACATTTCAAGATAAAATATCTGCCTTTGAAAATATTTAGGCAATGATAAACTAATGAGCCTTATGTTGCATTTTCATAGAAGTCAAAGCAACTTCTCTGAAAACAGTAACAGTGAGTTGGCAAGGAACTATTTCTGTACATTTTTTCCAACTTGAATTAATGCATTCATTTTATCATCAGCATTTGTATAGAAACAACAAACTTTTACAGAGCATGTATGTGCTAGGTATTATGCTAAGTATTCTCCATGTATCATCTCATTTAATCTTCACAAGAAGTATAGGGGTTTATAATGCTCCAAACTTTCTTTTCCCCCCTAAGGGACAGGGTCTTATTCTGTCACCCAGGCTGGCGTACAGTGGTGCTATCATATAGCTCAACTTCTTGGCCTCAGCGATCCTTCCACATTAGCCTCCCAAGTAGCTGGGACTATAGGCATGTGCCACCAGGCCCAGCTACTTTTTAAATTTTTTGTATAAAGGGGTCTTGCTATGTTGCCCAGGCTGGTCTCGAACTCCTGACCTCAAATGATCCTCCCACCACAGCATCCCAAAGTGTTGGGATTATAGGCATGAGTCACCATGCTTGGCCATGTTCCAATCTCATAGATGAGAAAATGAAGACAGTTAAAAGTCACAAAGCTGGGATTCAAAAACCAGGAAGTGAGTTCTCAAAAATATGATGTATTCTGTCTCCCACATTTATTTAAGTAAAAACCCAAATCATTTGATGCTTCAGGAAAATTCAGTTATTTTATGCATTTCTATAGTGAAGATGAAGGAACTGATTTTACCTTATGACAAGATTCAATCATTTATTTTTCAATTTACTATGTTATTGCTATGTGCTGGGCTCTATGCTAAACACTAGAAATAAAAATGGTAAGCAAGACAAGAGATTACAGGTGACTGGGTAAATAGAAAATTTAAAAGACGCTAACAATATCCAGTTGATCCTCAAACAACAAGGGAGGGCTCGGTTGTCAGGGACACAGACTGCATCAAAGATCCTTGTGTAACTTTCAACTCTCCCAAAATGTGACGAATAGCCCACTGTCGTCTGGAAGCCTGACAGTTGATCAACATATATTTTGTATGTTTTATATGTTATATACCGTATTCTTACAATAAAGTAAGCTACAGAAAAGAAAATGTTATTAAAGCAGTAAAAGTCGATGTTAAATAACTTTTTCTGATCATGACACTAATTGCCCAGTATACTTTCGAAAATCTCCTTTTCTATACAGTTTTTCAATACCACACAATTAAGGAAAATGAGAAAGATTCCATGGTTTAATAGTACACAAATATAGATTTTAGTTTATATTTAACCTGATCATTAAAAAAAATAAAATCTACCAACAGAATTTACATAAAACTCTTTTATTCCAAGGAATTAATTTCATCAAGTTAATGGGAAATGTTTATGATTTGTGAGTTTACTTGTTGAATAAACTATCAGGGTAATAAAGAATAGGCTATCTGGGAAATAAAAAGCAGCAGGAACCATAACTCATTTATGTAAATGCCAATGCTTTTTGTTGGACACAATACTAACAGTATTCCTAGTTTTTTCTTTTCTTTTTTGAGACAGGGTCTCACTCTGTCACCCAGGCTGGAGTATAGTGGCGCAATCTCAGCTCACTGCAACCTCTGCCTCCCAGGCTCAGGCGATTCTCATGCCTCAGCCTCCCAAGTAGCTGGGATTACAGGTGCCTGCCATCACGCCCGACTTATTTTTTGTATTTTTAGTAGAGATGGGGTTTCACCATGTTGGCCAGGCTGGGCTCAAACTCCTGACCTCAGGTGATCCAACCGCCTCAGCCTCCCAAAGTGCTGGGATTACAGGCATGAGCCACCGCACCCAGCCCTAGTTTTTCCAATAGCAAATTAGGGTCCACATTTCCATATAGTTTTACTAATATAAGAAAAAAAAATTAATGGCCCAGAAAACCAGTAATTTATTTTTCATTTCCCGTTAAAAAAAAAAAAATTATACTCTGGGAGTAGTACAATTATTATTTCTAAAAATATTAAAGGGTTAAGAAACAATAAGGAGCCAACCCAAGGAAGGGGGGCAGAGGGAAGAGATGGGGGAAGAGATGGGGAAAGAGAAACCGGGAAGGAAGGAGAACTGATAACACAAAAGCATCTGGATAATTTCTTACGCGACGTCACCCTCCAAAACCCCTTTTAATGTCTATCTAAGGACCCCTAAATACGAACTTTATGTTTTTATTATGTTAGAAGTATCAGTCAGGTGTTTTTAATTTTATGCTTAAATAAAATTTCTAACAACCAATAACCTATTCCTTATAAACATTACGATAATTTAAAATAAACTGACAAAAAAGGACGAGGCCCAAATCTAAGGTCTGGAAATTATTACTTACTGCAGGTACCAATAATTTCTTCACTTCTTCAACTGCTCTCTTCAATTTGATTTCTGCTCTGTTCTGAGCATCTTCCACAGTGATTAGTACATGTAAATCTTCATTTAGATGCTCCCAATTGGGCTTGCCTCTATTTTGCTCCTCCTAAAAAATTTACAGAGTACATGATTAAAATTATTCTCTTTAAAGAGAGAGCACATCTTTCATAATACTAACCTGTTGTCAATTATTTCAGCTATGTTTGCATTATTTTGCTATGATGGCACAAGTCTTTGAATTATTTTTCTGGGTCCTCAAAGTTTGATTGAATGTGAGACTACTGGGTCAAATGATAATTAATCCAACAAGTATTTACTGAGCACTTACTATCTACCAGGCACAGAACCAGATGCTAAAGATCAGCCCCAAGCGTGCTCCTATGCACTAGAAGCATACATCATCATCATGTATGTAGTATCATACAACATACATCTGATACTGTCCTTACATTACCATGAAAAACACTTTGAGAAACATGTCATTATTTCTGCATTTTACTTATAAGTAAACAGAAGGTCATCAAGGTTAAGGGGGTCACCTCTCAATGTCACACAGCTAACAGGCTGTCAATTTAGGAACTGAATCAAAGTTTTCATTCTCTAATTCAGTGATCTTTCCACTTCATTACAACTGCTTTTAATGACATTGGTTGTATTCAGCATTAGAAAAGGTATTTTGCATATAGATGTTATTGTGTAAGATGACTACCACTTGTTTTAAGTATTTCATGCGGTAATTATGAAAATAGTTTTATCTACATTCCCATCAGACCATACCTTAAAATTAACTGTAAGGCTACTCTTTAATTATATCAAGTCATAAATACTAGTTTCATAGAGAATATCTATATTTCATTTCCTTAATGTCTTCTAGTAAGAAATATCCCCATGTTGAAAACCTGGTTAAGCTACAGGGAGGTTAAGTAGAGTTGGCATAATTTCAGAATCGCTGTTTTAAGTTTTAGAGAAAGTGTTTTTAAATAAAATAAGAATATATAAGTAGTATATAAATGGTAAATATAAATGCACCTGGCACACAGCAAGGTACCACAGACAAACAATAAATATCTGCTGTTTTTGGACCTTTATTTTAGAAGTTACTATTTACCTAATTGTTAGATTCCAGTAAAAGAAAATAAAGCAGGCATAATAAAACTGCTTTCTGCAACAATTCACATGATTGAGCTTAGCCAATAAGGCTAAAAATAAATTTTAACAGTAAATGCTTCTGCTTTATTTTTAATCAACACATCTTTAGGATGAAAATGCATCCACATATTGTAAGGGGATACAGGGAAAAAAAAAATCAGACACAATCCTATGCTGGGCCATCTATGTATTTCCAAAGAGTGAACTCTGAGTCAGCACAGCATTTTACAGGGGTACCATCTGTCCGACACTGTGTGAACCACCAGCTCAGAATATCTGACTGTTTCAACATAAGGTCACATTACATTCTTTTTGATGATGTCATATCTTTACAAAGCTAGGTTGTTAGCGGTTGCTGTAATAAAAATCAAGAACATACAAAAATCAATGTGGAACAAGAAAAGAGGGTGGCAGTACAAAAATCTGATTCCAAAGTTTGAGAATTTGAACAGCACCCAAGAAAATACAAATGCTATTAGTAAAAATGTGGTTATTTACAAATAAAATGTATAGTCTGTTTCAAAGTTGTTTGTAGAGTAAATATTTAATAAACAGAACTCTGAAATATTTCTTTTTGACTAGGGTACACCATGCAAACTAAGTGGGAAACCAAGGAGTCAATGAATCAAGAAACTGGAAACCTCAGGGTTATCTGTATGGCAAGAAATAAAATATGTATTAATATCTCTAACTGTGGCAAGAAAAATTAGTTTTGTTATCCAGATTTCAATTGTTATGTTCAAGAATGCTAACAGTATTTTCTCACCAAAATTTGTATTTTTTATTTATCTTTTTTTTTTTGGAGAGAGACCTACAAAAGCTACTAGTCTGGTATTATTTGGTGGGCCTAAAAGTGCACCTATTTGACTAAACGCATATATATGAGGGACTTCTGTTTCCAGGCAAGATATAGTAACAGGAACCAGATTCACCTTCCTGCTGAAACAACCAAAAAACTGGCAAAACGTATCAACAAGTTTCAAGCCACTGGACATCAGACAACTAAGGACAAATGACACAGAGTTGGGAACAACTGAGGTGAGCCTATAACTGCCCCCACTCACTGGCTTGAGAGTCTCCAGACAACTCCATGAGGAGACTAAGCAAGAGTCCAGGGAAACCGAGGCAGCCAAAGCTCAGAGAGTCCTGGGAGAGCTGCCACTCAAATATTCAGCTGAACCCTGATCGTTGCATACTTGAGAGAAAATTCCAGAGGCCAGGGAAGGAACCACCCAAAAGGATTCCAGGTCAAAGTGCCTGGCTCTAGAAAAGAACAAGACTGAAAGACTTGAAGGATTCCCCACGGGTAAGGGACACAGAAAGGTCTTGCCTCAGTGGTAGGAAAAAACTAAACCTAATCTAAGCATTGTTCCAGTACAACTAAATACATTTTAAAAGTAAGACCAAATGCCTTAAATTATTTCCAACTAACTTAACTGTGTCCCAGGACAAAGCTCAAAGATATTTATAGGAATATAAAAATATCCACCCAACAAGGTAAAAGTCTGGCATACAATTAGAAATTAACGGGCATGCAAAGCAGCAAGAAAAATGCAATACATGAGACCACCTCCCCCCCAATCAATTCACTCAAACCAATCTAGAAGTGATACAGATGTTATTATAAATAGACAAAGACATTAAAAGCTCTATGTGTGTGTGTCAAACACTAATGCATATAGATACTAATACAATGAAAACTGAGGAACATTTATAATCAAATATTTTTGAGAAAAGCTTAAGAATAAAAACTAAAATTTGACTTGCCGCAGAAACCTCTATACATGGAGAAAAGCCAGAGAATTTAAAAGGAATAATTATTTTCATGATAGAAACAAAGTTGCAGTATTATTTGCCATTTTGCTTTATTGCAAGAATACATTTTTAAGGTGTAAAACACTTGGCCAATGCGTACTCTTACTAATTCAACAACTTAAATGATAGTTAAAAATATAAAAATAGGAGAAAGCTACATCTACCCTGTTTGCTTCAAAATCAACATTTTTGCTTACACTTTTAAAAACAATTGAAGGAGCAAAAATTTTCAAAGATGGAGAAATTAATGGAATGGTGTACTTACACTCCCACCAAAAATTCTTCTACAACACTGCAGAGTTTAAAATGTACAAACTCAGCCGGGCACAGTGGCTCATGCCTGTAATCCCAGCACTTTGGGGGGGCCGAGGCAGGAAGACTGCTTGAGCCCAGGAGTTCAAGGCCAGCCTGGGGAACAGTCAGACCCTGTGTCTATTATAAATAAATAAATAAAATGTCCAAACTCGTAAGAAGTAAGAAAATGGGAAAGGAAACCATTTAAAAATTAAGAATCTAGAAAGCAGATGGTTAACTTAAAATTTACCTGACTCTAGTTAAGAAAGAAACTTATTTCCTTGCAATCCACCCCAAAAATACTGAGGAAATGGGCAGCAGTGAAAACAGGGGTGAGGGTGGGGCTGAGATTGCAGGACTAGATGAACTCTCATTAAAAAGCAGTTCAATTCCCATATCCCCTGTCCACAAATGGCTAGCTATCAAGCACTCCCTAATTCCCAGCAGTAGACCAGAAACTGATTCTGAAAGGAAGTAAAACACTTGCTCAAACTGCATTAGGAGAACAGTTGACAGGGTAACTTCCACTCTGACAGCTGGGCTGGCCGGCCATCTCCCCTGCTCCAAATGCAGAGCAAGGGAACCCAGGCCCACATCTTGGGGACAGGAGACTTGAACAACTGACCCTTCAGAGAGTTAATAAAAGACGCTACAATGCTGAAACAAGAATGCTCTATTTAAAAATTTTGAATACAAATAGAAACTCCTGCAACTAAAAACATGAGAGCAAAGATGAAAAATTTGATAGAAGGTTGGAAGACAAACTGAGGAACTCTCCAAGTAGCAAAAGACAGAGATAAAAAAAAATGGTGCAGAACTGTATAATATTAGAGGACTAGTCCAAGAGGTTCAGAAACTGAAATGACGATGTCCAACTACCAATATAAAGAAAAAGAAAGCAGAGGGAGAAAAATCATCAATGTTATATATTTTTCGCAAAACTGAGGGATCTGAGGTTCCAGATGAAAAGGACCCACTGAGTTTTCACCACAAGGAATAAATGAAGCGGACACTTCAAAATCAAACAATGTAGCAATTGAAAGTAAACACTAAAAGCACCTCTTTTAGTGTTTTGGAGGGGGTGCAGTGTGAAGAGAGAGACCGACCAACCCGTTTTCCACATCAGGCCTCAGAAAATCTTTCATCCATGTGCATATCAAATGTCACACAAAAAAAGGCTTTGAGGTCATGCTACGCAGAAGCCATGAAGCCATATTCATTCTACTGTAGTCCATTCCAGCTCAAGAAGAGTTAAATTCCTTCAGTGAGTTTGCAGCTTAGTAATTATTTAATACAAATACTATTTCTCCCTGTGATCTCATTCTGTTTCTTAAGCAGATTATAAAGGCAATCTGGGATTGGCAAATTTTATAGAGAAATCAATAAAACACACCCCAAAAGGTCCTCTTTTAGTCATTAAGGATAGATGCAATTATAGGATGGTTACTTCTGAACTTAAAATATCCATAGTAAGAATCCACTCACAAAACCCATTTTCTCACTTAAATACATCAGGACAAAGAAAAGGTTGAAATAAGCAGACAGGAGGGATGATGATATGGACGCACACCAAAAATGCTGTATTTATTAGAAACTGTGTTCTACGAGGCATTCGTTTCTTTTTACAATTATGTTTCAAACAATCTTTCAGGGGTTAATAGCTGAGATACTGATGTGGAAAAAAATAGCTCATGACTACTATAATGTCTGTTTTACAGTTACCATTTGCAATATCATTTCATAATATATGTGCTACTAAATCTTCAGCAACATAGAAGAACACAGTTTTGCATCAATATAATCCCAAATTTACATTTTCCAGCACAGTACTGCCCCCTGATTTCTAGACCTCCAAATTCAACTGCCAACTAGAAATGTATACTTCAATCTCTAAAGCAGTCTGAACTCCACATGTCCAAACTGGGGTTCATACCTCCCTGCTGCAAATCTGTCCACAATTAATGTCTCAGCTATTACTCATCCTGAATGAATTTTCTGAATCAGCGTGGATTTTTAGAATTTGAGGCTTTGTAGGAAATCTCTGAAACACAGTCATGGCTTACTTGTGCTTTGACAGAGACTGGCTGCTGCACATGCACCCATTCACATCTATCCACACTAATCTGAAGTGCCGTGTTCATTCACTTCCCACGATAGGCTCAGATTTACTCCATGCTGTATTACTGGCCATTCCCCAAACATGGATTTTGACACCCATAAGTTTATGGAAGCTATCTATCGCCTATGTCTAGAATGCCTCCTTTCCCTTTCTTTAATATTTACTTTTATTTCTTTTTTTTCTGTATTATATAGTAACTTAGTTATCTGTGCATTGTCTTTTTCTAGCTATTAGAAAGTTTGCTCCAAGTTGAATATCAGAATCATCTCACTGATTTTCATACTCTTGACAGTATGTACACATTGATTTTACACATATCTGGCTCTAAACAAGTATTTACTGAATTGAATAATTGAACTTTTATGATTGAAGAGCATCATTCAAATCAAATATCAAACTGTGCATGAATATGCTGCAGCTTTCCCACAGTGCTCTGCTGTACTAATGATTACTGTGCCTGTTTAGTTAATCCCTCATATATTCACCTTTGCTCCTGTATCTTGGTTTCTGGGACGGCTTCTTTCTTTCTCCTTAGTTACCAGGTGTACATGACAATTTTTACTCCATTTCTTGTTCTCTTACTTCTAGTCAATTCTCCCAGATTTTCTACAATAACTCTTATGAGGTCTGGTTTTCACAACCCATCAGTCTGCTTATCTTTTACTCTAAAACCTCAATGCTACCTTGTTTTGATGTATCAGAAGAACAGGAGACAAGATGGGTCAAAAGTATTTTTTAAAACTGCAAGACTAAAGTTCTATCTCAATATAACAGCAAAGTGACAGCACAGGCAAATTACATATAAATACTATATGTATAAATATGTTCAGAGCTCAAAACCACTAACCTTCCATCTTTTAAGGTAGGGTGCAATAACAACAGAGGTTCCATGGAAATGGAAAATAGCTCTATTTATACAGCAAATTCAAATATAGTAGCTTGCTAAGCAACTTTATAATTCATTCACACTTGATGGCAGAGCAGATAGTCACAATTATTAATGATTATCATGGTCTGTATTCTTGACAAGTATACTATGGTGAGATAAATTAGACTTAGGTGATGATAAGCAAACTTAAAAATGAAAATGATGATGGCAACTAAGCTTTTATCAAACACTGCTTGCCAAGGACAATGCTAAGCAATATAAATACATCACCTCATTCAATCCTCATAAGTTACATGAACCTGGGACTATCAGTCTTACCAACATTTAACATGATTTAGTCAAGTCAGGCAGTAAGTGTTGTACCACCAAGCTACCATACCTAGCCAGAGCAACTTTACAGCATGCACCCTCAACAACTAATTCCTAGCACAACATATCACCTACATGAGAAATTGACCTAAAACAGCATCATAAAATAGTGAAAAACCAGAAACGGAACACAGAATAGTGGAATCTCTAGAATTTTTTACTTTACCTTTTTACCTTTAAATATTTTTGTGTAGAATTCTAAGCACATCTTGTCCTCACAGAATTTAGAGCTGGCGGGGACTTTGAAGGCAGATAAAGGGGTAGATGAGATTATTTAGTAGATTTGGTTTTGTCTTTCTATATTTGTCCTATCTCCTAACTTCATGTCAAGTATTCTTTCTCCATAAATGAATTTCTGAGTAAGTCACATCCAGAATAATGTCAAGAACTGGGAGAAAAACATCTGGTATAACAGATCTCTTGCACCTAGGGAGAAAAATGCTTTCTCCCTAAATGAGAGACTCACCTATCAAATTACAATGATACATATATACAAAAAGGATAAATCTGTAGCTATTTCACTTACATAAAATTCCTCTAGTCTTTAAAGTTTCGAATAGGTGAGGTTGTTAAAACTAAAATTAGATCTTAATATACAATGCGTATTTCCAACATTATTACTAAGCTAGGACTAATTAACACCATTGTTTATAACTAAATTTTACCACTTTTCAATAAAACAACTTCCATTTCATTTTTGAAACCACTGTATACAGTGATGTAAAACTACAAAGTAAAAAAATAATCTCAACATTTGAGAAACAAAGTATTTGTTTTGGATTTTTGAAAAACTTTATGAATCGCTGCCCTATGAAGTTTAAAAGTATGCTCTAATTACAATATCTGTTTGAACAACAAAGGGATTCTATAACATGAAGCATTAGAGTATACTGATTGTCCCACCCCTGCTGACAGACTCTCTTAATTATGCATTTGTAGTCAAGCAAATGAGCACAAGACTTCTGCTCCTACTGTGCTCTTAATGTGAAAGTTCATACGCCAAAACCCCTCCAAACAGAATTCAAAAGTGTTACATGCTGACAAAAACCAAGGTTCCAATAACAGGCGTATTGTGAATATATACATTTTAAGACAAATATTAAAGCTTAGACATATTACCATCTCCAGTTGTGCATATAATCTTAGATTAGTTTAAGAAATGTTCATTGAGAAACTGGGCATAAAGTAGATTTCACACAATTTAATTCCTCACTGACTCAGTTATAAAAGCAGCCCTCAAAAAACTTTTAAAAACTTGAATGTGAGTCCAACAAAAACTACACTTTCAAAGCAAATTATTTTCTAATAAAGTATGAAGACTAGGATAATTTTATATTCAGTCCGTTGAAATCATCATCTAGGAAGTCATTCAGCAGGCATTCAACAAATACTTATTAAATTAGGCACAAAGGAACAAGTTCCTAAATTCAAATAACTTTTATTGTTTTTTGCCAAATAATTTCCAAGTTAAAAACAACAGGACTGTAACATCTATCTCCTACAGACACAGTACTTATTGACTGCCAGGTATGTCTTCCAATTTTCATACATTAATTCCACTAATTTAATTGTTAATTACTTTATGTCTAAACTAAATTTATATAACCCCAATACTAGCCAAAATACTATTCTGGCCCCACGATGACCAAAATGAGTGAGATTTCTCTAGATATGAGCTGCTTTTAGCATGCAGAAACAATTCTGAACAAGATCAGTTGAAAAGCTGAATATGATCTTGATGAAACATAGTTAAGGCTGAGAAGAGTGAATTAAATATGTACAAAAAGTTTCCCATAAAAAGACAAAAATCATCAAGTGATTTGTTATTTCCCAACAACTTTAAAGCTGGCAAATATTTAACAAAAATAGTGGTGATAGAAATAAATGATTGTTGGGAAATCCTTTTAAACTGGAAACTTTGGGCTGAGCTCCTGTTGCTAACAAGCACCCACATAAAATTCGTTACTGCCCACTGAAGCACAAAATATTTCCTCACAGCATTAAAAGAATCCTTTCACTAATTCATATGTGAGATTTTGTACATTAGGTGTTATTCTCACCATCATCTAAGATACACAATTCAAGGCACAGAAAAATGAAATAATTGTTTTAGAATGTGATGTTTTAAAATACTCAATTGAATATTTACTGATAGTATACCAGGGGAAAATACATAAATAAAAGACATTTCTACCTTATACCCATTTTCCTTCCTAAATCATCAAAATCCCAGTTTCAATAATCATCTTTCAATCAAATATACCCCTTCCAGGTCCTACCAGACAGGATGTTCCCTGAATACTCCCATTCTACTATTTTTTCTTTTGACATAATCAGTCTGGTATGTATGATTCCTAAAAAGTTTCAAGAAGTATGGAATCAGACTCATCTCCATATCTTTCAGCACAGACTTTCTAATAAGTGCTCCTTAGAGCACAGCATGAGATACAAAAATAAAGTTAGTGTGGTCAATATCAACTAAAACAAACAAACAAAAAACATATAGGGCTTTACACTCAGTACTTGATATTCATAAAATAACTTAATCCTTTTAATAAGCTTAGAGGTAGGCATTATTATAATCACCTATTTCTCATTTAAAAATGAGATAAACTAATGGGCAGAAACCTGACTCAATGTACTCAGTTAAACCGACTTCAGATGACACTCGTCTGCCTTTGACGACCTGACAACTACCTATTAAGAAGAAAGGCTAAATACAATACTTAAAAGTCAACATAATCAAGATTACAATTATTTCATTGAAAACAATAAAAAGAAACAAGATGGCCGGGCGTGGTGGCTCACGCCTGTAATCTCAGCACTTTGGGTGGCCGAGGCGGGGAGGGGGGAGGATCACGAGGTCAGAAGTTTGAGACCAGCCTGGCCGACACGGCAAAACCCCATCTCTACTAAAAATACAAAAATTAGCCAGGTGTGGTGGCAGGCGCCTGTAATCCCAGGTACTCAGGAGGCTGAGGCAGGAGAACTGCTTGAATTCGGGAGGCAGAGGCTGCAGTGAGGCAAGACTGTGCCACTGCACTCCAGCCTGGGTGACAAGAACAAGACTCCGTCAAGAAAGAAAGGAAAGGAAGGGAGGGAAAGAAGAAAGAAGAGAGAGAGAGGAGAGAGAGAAAAGAGGAGAGAGGGGAGAGAGAGAGAGAGAACAGGAAAAAAAAAAAAAAGGAAACAAGATGTTTTGAAAAATCCAGATATAGCCTGTCTCAAGCAAAGGTCAGTAACAGGTTCATGTACTGATGTTGAGAGTGGCAGCACATGGTTCACTGTGCAAATGCTCCATTCTTCAGAGGGAATTTTATTTAGGTATAAATCCCAGAGATTCAAAACAAAACAATTGTTAATAAGATTTTTAAAATGCGAATGTTTAATATTCATTTTCTGATACTCTAAGGAATTTATGATACCACACTTACTAACCACTTAATAGCTGTTTAGTGTTAGGCAAAATGCTTGAATTTATCTATGCTTCAGTTTCCTCATCTACAAAAGAGACATAAAGATAGTACTTACATCTCAGAGCTACAATGAGTTTTAAATGTTAGTGTTCGGATAGCACATGGACGAGTACCCGTCATTTAAGAGCTCTGAAATTAATATTACCATAATGTAAATATGGTATGGACAGGCTAGAATCTAGAATAGATGATCGTAGAAAATAAACAGAAGGCCGGGCGTGGTGGTTCATGCCTGTAATTCCAGCACTTTGGGAGGCCGGGGCAGGTAGATCACCTGAGGTCGGGAGTTCAAGACCAGCCTGACCAACATGGAGAAACCCCGTCTCTACTAAAATACAAAATTAGCCGGGCATGGTGGCACATGTCTGTAATCCTAGCTACTAGGGAGGCTGAGGCAGGAGAATCGCTTGAACCTCGGAGGTGGAGGTTGCGGTGAGCCAAGATCACGCCACTGCACTCCAGCCTGGGCAACAAGAGCGAAACGAAACTCCATCTCAAAAAATAAAAAAAAGAAAATTAAACAGAAATACTGGGAAGGGATGACTGAACAACAAATAAAATGACATGACTAGCGGTTATAATTTAGAAAAATAAAATTGGAAATGTATTTTCAGAATAAAAAGAGTAGCTTAAGATAATTTATTTTTTAACCAACTTAGTTAATAAAATATATTAACCATTACATGAAAATAAAATTATTTTTAAATACATTTTTTAAGAAAAAGCTTAATAAAGACACAACTGTAATCTTTGGGTTTCAGACTGGAAGACAGCTCAGCTGATCAAAACACTAACCCTGCCCTCCATGAAGCATTTGGATTAGAAATGATACGTAAAGGACGACCGGTACAGTTTCCTGGAAAGTGGGATAAACCGTGACTATTAGTATGTCACAAGCAGTACACAAAATGGACAACGAATAGTAAAGGGAATTTATAAAAACTTAATGAAATTGAAGAATGAGTTCAAATACTACCTACTCCTTAACTGTTTTCCACTACCCTACTCTATCCAAATTCATTCTCCCTAAGCCCCACTTTGCTTCCATCGAATCTTATGGCTCTAAAATGATACTTAAGATCATACTTTAATATTCCAGTGTACATAATGGTAAGCTCTAGAAAGCAAAGACTGCTCCTTTTAATTTTTTGTATTATTCACAAGGCATCTAAAAAGAAAAGTTTGGTACACAACCAGTAGCTTTCTATTTCTCTTCTGCCCTGCCCAGATTTGAACTTGCACATCTTTTATGATATTTTCATCAGTTTTTAAAATATTAATTTCTGTATTTGTCTCACATATGTATAAACAAAGTAGCTCTGAATTCTACAAATGAAATCATGTCAAATACAAATATACTAGTTTCTCAACATATATGCATACTATCATAATTAACATACTACAAACTCATTTAAAAGGAACTATGGAATCCATGGTTTCTGTAATTATGCATTTATTAAACAAATGCTAAACTGTCCTTCTATATAAGAAACCACTTCCCTAAAATATCTACCAAAATGTTTTGCATATAGTAAGCACTTAAAAGACATTTATTATTGTCTCTTAATATTCCTAGATTATAAACTGAAAATAGCAAGTAACATAAAATATACTGATTACATGATTACTAAGCTCCTAAGCCATATGGTGCTTTCTCGTGCATTCCACATGTGTATTTTTCTACATTAGTTAGGGAAAATAAATACCTGAAAAATTCAAGATTTATTTTAAAAACTCAGTCAGGCAACACTGAAAGAGAGTATTTTACCTGCCTTCTGTGAAATTAAAATGAAAAACACAAAACTAAAGAACTGAACCAGAGTCCCATAATCTACAACCACAAGCAAAGTAAGAATTATGCTGAAGGATCCACATACAGTCTGCCTTACTTCCTCATCGAGCAAAAGATCACAGCCTAATGTTATATATTAGGATTTCCAAAATGTAAGAGAACAACAGCACATAGCTCATTACGTTATAAAAGGTGTTTCATCCTGGGAATGTTAAGATACAAGACTAACAGGAGGTTCCATCATTTGTAGTTGGTAGGTTGCGACGTCCTATTCAACCTAACGGCACCGTGGATAGCTGCAGTGTTCGTACTCCCCAAATATTAATTCACAGCTGTCTTCATGTAATCGTGCACACATCACTGAAAAGCAGTGACAAAAACACAACTGTGTAGAATAATGACCCTAGTTTATGACGATGTTCAGGAATACGTATTTATGTGTGTATGGAAGAGCTATGTTGGCATAAATGAACTTTGAGAACCTCGGCAAGGAAACAGGCACATAATTTATAATTCCATGGGGCTTACCACAATGCTAAACACTTATCCAGTACTCATATTTGCTGACTGATAATCAGAACGTTAAAAGTTTGCTCCAAACCCTGAATTTTCATTTGCTCACTGGAGAATAGAGACAAAATGAAAAGAACTGGTTACTCAAAAACAAACGCACAAAAAGGCCTCTCCCCACACTCCATAACCCCTAAAAACCAGACAAGGGTAGAAAACAGAGTGGGGGAAAGAACACAGACTCAAATGCCAGTCTTATTTCAGTGCCCCTGTAATCTTGAGCAACTCACTCACGTATTCATTTATTTATTTAATAAATACATAAATAATAATTGAGTTTCTACTACACCCTGTGAGTGAACAAGGTTTATGACAGGCAAGTGAACAGACATGCAAGCTCTCAAGGAGCCTACAGACTAGTAACTATTTATTTGCAATTGAGGGAGTGACACCAAAGTTCACTGTGTTATATAAAAGCACATATGAGGGTTGACTGATCAAGGTTATATGACAAAATGTTAACTATTTTTTGAAATCTTATTTTCTCATCTGTAAAGGTTACAAGGTTGCAAGAATTAAAGAAAGTATGTTGAAGACAGTGACTAGTTCATAATACTTAACACTTTTACTATGTAACTCCTATCTCTGTTCTTTCCTGTATCTTCCTTAAAAAATGGCTTTTCAGCTAACAGGGATTCCCCTTAATTCCACTGCAGGATGTCCTTTCTGTCATTATATTAACATAATCAAGCATAAGCACATCCCGCTTCCTCAATTAAGAAGCCTCAAAATCAAAGCCAGAGTAAAAAATAAATTAGCAATTAATCAATGATCCCTCTGGGTTAAAAAATACAGGCCTGGCATGGTGGCTCACACCTGTAATCCCAGCACTTTGGGAGGCTGAGGTGGGCAAATCACTTGAGGTCAGGAGTTCAAGACCAGCCTGGCCAACATGGTGAAACCCTGTCTACTAAAAGTACAAAAATGAGCTGGGCATGGTAGCATGCGCCTGTAATCCCAGCTACCCGGGAGGCTGAGGCAGGAGAATCGCTTGAACCCAGGAGGCAGAGGTTGCAGTGAGCCGAGATCATGCCACTGCACTCCAGCCTGGGCGACAGAGTGAGTTTCTGTCTCAAAAAATATATATCTAACTGCCTGCCCCAAATTATTTGTGATGTCATGATTTTTTTCTTGGTAATGACTTTCAACCTTTGAAAGTTCTAGAATTAAGATTAGAGTAATAAGAGCGAATCAAACACAATGTTAATAGTCTATATATGTTAATCTAAAATATTTGTTACATTTAAGGTTTAACACATTTAAATATCTGTAAGATTATCCTTCTAATTTCAACTGAAAAATATATAGACAGGTATCTACAACACATCCCAGCGATTCCCATAGGGAAGGATCCAAAGCATGGTGCTCCTTGTGCACAGTCAGGTGGCAGCAGGTATAGCTACTAAGAAGAGCATACCTCTATACTCATGGGCTGATATTCGGATGACATAATGTCTGATGCAGATTAAAAATATAATACTAGATGGTACAAATGCTTAGTGTATTAAATGGAGTTCTTTCTTCACTTAAATTCCAAAGTATTAACGTGTATTTCACACACCCATTCTTCTCAGCAGAAAAAAACCAAGGGTAATTTTACGTCATTAGAAAAACTAGGTGACTTTAGGTCCTCTAGGCATACATTTCTCCTACACTTACATCACCTCTGTCATCCAAAACCCATAATAATCCTAGACTTTTCTTCCAATCTTTCATTAAAATTTGGCTAACAAGAGAACTATAAAAAGTGATATATTTCTCATAACCCTTCATCATAATTTGATTAGCAAAACTATAAAAAGTGATAGTTAATGCAGCAGAGTATATTAAATAATGCAGTTTTTCCATTTTCTTGAAGATACTGAATTATTTTCACTTCCTTTGGGTAAGACTGACATGTACATTCAAATATGTTAATAACTTGAAAGCATTGAAAAAATCATTCTTCAATGATGTTGCCAGCATGATTTGGACATAGGTCATATGAACCTAGCTAACAGCACCACTGCAAAGCCTTGTAGCTAATAGGTGGTAGTCAAGCTAAAATAGGATAATTCTTAGGACAATCTCGTACCACCTTTTTTTTTCTATAGTTTTGAAAACAGGTAAAAAATAGCTGTATGAATGTCTTCCTTCATGAATTACAATTATGCAACCGACATTTATAATTTCCCCAAACACTATTTTAAAAAAAATCCTGAACTTCTTGCTAGCTAAAACCTAGACTGTTACACTCATGATTTTTTTAATAAATGCCATTTTTTACATATTCTATACATTATCCAGTGTTATAATGATGAGTTTGTTAAACGTTAACCATTTTATTATCTTATACTTTACTGCAAACACCTAAGAATTCAACTACATCAGCCAAGAAAACAGTAATCTCTCAGAGAAATACAAAATAGAAGTTCAGAGAATCCATGTTTTTATTCCTTCATTAAAAATCATTTCAAGTATGTTCAAGTTTCAGAGACATGGTGCTAAATTGAAATTCTTCAATTCCTCTCCCTATTATCAACCCATATAACTATAGAATCAAAAATTGTTTGCTTCAGTCTTTGATAACAGCTCTAAAATGTTTCACTGGTGACAAGAAAGTATTTTCAAAGGGTACGTTACTTGTCCACTAGTGCTTAAAGCCATGTTTCCTAAGACAAAAAGTAACTCTACTCTTTCAGAATATCTTTGGCCCACTTCCCCTTAATTAAGAAACAGATGTAACATGCCATTCATCACAACACTAAAATGTGAATGCAATGAAAAACATTTTCTGAGATATTAAACAAACTTTATATAACAACTATATAAAATAACTATAATGCTTAAAAAGTAAGCTATCATTAATAATTATTGTGGTTAATTATGAGAGCAAGGGTCAATTTAAATGTTAATAGTAATCATTATAATTGGAGAAAACATCTTTTTGAAAACGACCATAGACACCTCAGGATCTATCAACTGCCTGTATTCTAAAATAGTATTAAAGAACACTAAAAATAATACTTTTAATATCTAGTAAGCCTGAATGGTAGATATTAACTTATTTTTCACATGTGAAAATTTCAACAGCAAAAGTAACTTGTCTTACGTCCTTCAATCCATAAATAGAAGGCCCAGAACCTGAACTCAAATCTGACTCCTTATTTCATCTCTGTCGCCACTGTGCCACATAAAAATATCATCACACCCACTCTTTTTAAGGCCCACAGGAAATCTGGCACGATCTCTGAGGTCCCCTTTTGTCAAGCTGTCTTAAGAGCTCTTTTGTCCTGAATTTCTCCAACAGTCCTACTCATGTGTTCTTATTAATGACATATGTTTATAAGGAACTCTGCATGTCTACATATCATTTCATTTCATAGTACTATGTGCTACTGAAGGTTAGGATTCCTGCCCAGCACTTCTTGAAATAACCTTCATACTCAGGTGTTTATTCAGTGAAATGAATCTGATTGGGGAAAGGGAGAGGATATATCATGTTCAATGAATATCAACTCTCTAGTTCAGCTCTCTACATTTATTAATAAAGCAGAACACATACCAACAGATCTTCACACTGAACAGAAAGTCCAGTGACTACTTTTGTCGCTATGCTACTCTAAAAAGAAAAGACTATAAATAAATTCATGTAGCCATACAAGGTGTGTAACTCTAAATACCTATTTACATTTTGGAAGAGTTGGAAATGGCAGAATTGTTATGTGCCTCCTAGGCTTACCTCACAGGTATTCTTGCCAAAATACAAAATTGACATTCTATGGAAAAGGGCAATCTATAAATTGAGTTAGTTTGATTTTCTTTGTAAATCATGCTGAAAGAGTAGTTACTACAATCTACTACAGAATAAATGAAACCTCAACCTCTATGTCTGCAGTTCATAAACTACAATTTATTTACATGTATAAAACTTGACCTTAATGACAACAGTTAGTAACACCTAAATTTGTATCTCTTGCTCATCAATGAAATATAATATTTTTTAATATCAACAGCCAAAATAAAGCCTTCTTCACAAAAAGGTACAAAATACTCTCTTCCTTAAAATGTTCATAAGGTTTTTAAGAGTGTTGAAAATTATATGCAAGAAGCCTGAATGACTACTTTAGAAATGAGTCTGTGGCTCTTCTCAATTATACCCATTACTGGAAAAAACTAAGAACATGGACCCACAAAAAACAGTATCTATGTAAAACATGATTTCCAATTTTGCTTATCTCGGCCCCTTCTAGTTAAAATTTGTATCTGTCCATCCTGACTACAAAAGGGCAGGCATTGATTGTATCTTATCTTTGACTGGATATTCAAACACTTAGCGCACAGCCTACCACAAAGGAAAAATTTTTTTGAAGTCTGTTGAATAAGGAAATAAAGAAATGAACTCAACTACCTTCCGTGGATGTGAGTTTTTCCTGAAAAACAAGATTTCCCTAGCCAGCTTCTATAGCTTTTTTCCATTTAAGATAAGAATCAGACATCTCTCTAGATTACACAAATTCTAATAAACTAGAATCTTACTTTGGCAAAAACCTCCTGAATTACCACTTTCCTTCACAATAAATATTAAAAGGAGTTTGTACACTAAACACATGAAATTGGTGCCAGGGAGGAAATCAAAGAATATGTAGGGCAGGGGCAGGTAAACCCATTTACTAAACATAAGCTAAATACAAGCCAAAAAAGGACCAGGTTACCAGATTTACCTTAACCTTCTAGAAATAGCTGTGTATCATCTAATAACACCTAAATTTATATCCCTCACTCATCAATGAAAATATCCTTTAATATCAATCGACAAAATAAAGAGAGACACTATTTAGGGAAAAAAGTTAGTTATCCGGTGTGATACCTTTGCAGTGTGTCAGCTTAACTAGGCTGAACTAGAGTTTCCAGAATTTCATTTCTTGTATGTTTCCAGTTGGGATGGTCTATAAAGTATATTTTTTCAAGAGGTGGACTATAAATGGAAAACAGTGGCCATTTAGTAGCATACACATACCTTCTCCCAGCTACTCAAGAAAAAACTAATCTAAGCCAGACGTGGTGGTGCTCGCCTATAATCCCAGTTACTTTGGAGGCTGAGGCAGGAGAATCACTTGATCCTGGGAGACGGAGGTTTCAATGAACCAAGATTAAGCCACTGCACTCCAGCCTGAGCCAAAAGAGCTAGAGACTGTGTCAAAAACCAAAACCAAAACAAAAAACAAAAAACCACTCTAGATACTGCTGTGAGAAATTCTGCAGATGTAATTAAGAAAAGTAATCAGTTGAATTTAAGTTAATCAACAGGGAGATTATCCTGGGTTAACCTGACATATTCCATTAGAAGTCTTTAAAAGAGGGCTTTGGTCTTTTCTAAGCTCAGATATTCCAAACACCAACTGGGTTTACAACAGTGCCCTCTGGATCTTCCTTCCTTACCCATCTGCTTTGTGGACTCTAGACTAGTCAGCATGAACTTATACAAGCCAATTCCTCATAATAAGGGAGACAGAGAGAGCTAGAGAGAGCTAGAGAGAGAGAGAGAGAGAGAAAGAGAGAGAGAGAGAGAGAGAGTGAGTGTGTGTGTGTGTGTGTGTCCCCTACTGCTTCTCTGGTTGAAACTTGTTAAGCTTTTCTTTAAAGCTTCACCTTCATAAAAATTCTAAAATAAAACTTATAACATCCCATTATGGCACTAACACCATAATTATAGCTCATGGCATGAACCCAAGAGGCTAACATTATGATATGTGTTTCAAAACAGTTATAGTATGATAAGGAGTATTTTAAAGCCAAGTAAGTTAAAATATATTCCAGAATGTCAAATACTCTAGCCTACACCTCTACACCAGTAAGAACGCAAGTAGTATTCATTTCAGTATGAAAACATATTTTATTTAATAAACAGATTAATCCAATAAATATGGAAAATAGTTAAGACCAGAAAAATAAAAAGCTTTCTTGAAATAAGTCATCAAGGTATTAAAGGTATATTGAAAGACCATAAAAGCCCTCAAGCTTAATTTAAAATGAAGTTTTAGGCTGGGCGCAATGGCTCACGCCTGTAATCCCAGCACTTTCGGAGGCCAAGGCGGGTGGATCACGAGGTCAAGAGATCAAGACCATCCTGGCCAACATGGTGAAACCCTGTCTCTACTAAAAATACAAAATTCAGCGGGGCATGGTGGTGTGCGCCTATAGTCCCAGCTATTTGGGAGGCTGAGGCAGGAGAACTGCTTGAAACTGGGAGGCAGAAGTTGCAGTGATCCCAGATCATGCCACTGCACTCCAGCCTGGGCGACAGAGCCAGACTCCGTCTCAAAAAAATAAATAAATAAAATAAGCTTTAGAAACTCTACATTTTTCCCAAAAAAGGCCCCATAATTGAGTTGCAAGCAACAGGTAGACACTGAGGGGTACAATGTATGTATGTTGTTGAGTGTCATGTGTGCATATATGTACTTTAGATTTTCTAAAAATTGCCTGCACTCCTAAGGAAAGACATTAATGAAGGACCCACAAAACAAATATTAATCTTAATTTACCTTAACATCCTAGAATACCACATTTAGTTACTATCCCATCAAAAGGTATTCTCTTTAAAAATAATCAGATTATATCACAATGAGGTGACAGATTTGAGAGATAAATAATCAGATTACATCACAATGAGGTGACAGATTTGAGAGATAAATAATCAGCTTATACCACAAAGAGGTGACCGATTTGAGATAAAAATAAAAAGTGAAAAGCTTTGATTACATAGCAAATGTCAATTGCTGGACTTATTTTGTATCTTAAATAGAAAACAGTCACTAATTACCTATGCCAGAAAAAGTCAAATATTCAATATTCAAAGTGCTTTCTGAAAGTTTAATAAACTAGAAATAAGATCACTTGAAATTCCACTTCACATATAGAATGACCTATCGCCATATCATTATATGTAAGTTTCCCTTTTGTTGTAACACACCAATATATTTTTATCACTAATCAAATATACAGAATAATTTCAAACTGTTCTTTTGAACGTTATAGTATCAAGATGTAGTATGTGTTAAATCAAGTGTATTTGATCAAATTTCATCATTTTGACTGCCCCAAAATATTCTGCTACACAAAGAACCACAATTTATATTTCCATCTCTCCATTTATGGCCATTTATACTGATTCCAATTTATTATTATTATAAACAATCCTGCAGTGAATATCCTCATTCCCATCTTCCAAAACACATGTGACAAGAGTTTCTTAAGAAACTGACACATAATGAAATTTCCACAAACAGGACCTTCTTAAAAAAAAACACACACTATTAGTTGACAGTGCCAAATTGCTTTCCAATATGTCTGTGTCTATTTACACTGACTTGTGTGGGAGTTCATATTTCTCCATATCCTAGACATAGCTTTGATAACATTGAGGACATCAAATGGTACATTATTCTCATTAAATATAAAGGTGCATTCGCTTGAGTATTAATAAGGTAAAGCATCTTTTCAAATGTTCATTTTTAATTCAGGTTTTCTGCCCTGTGAATTGCCTGTTCACACACTTTGTTCATTTTTAATTGAATTTGTGATCTTTTAAAATTGTTTTTGAATGAATTTTTAATAAATTCTAAATATACACATTTTGTTACAGATGTTGCAAATACACTCCCACTCTGTGGCTTGTCTTTTAAATGGGGTATGGTGTCTTTTGCATAAAAAGGATTTTTAAAATACATTTCAATGTAGTTATAGCTACTGATATTCCTTTATAAGTTTTCTAGTCAGTAATCCTGCTTTACAATGAAGTCATAAATGTATCTCCTATGTTTTCTTCTAGTGGTTGAGTTTTTTGCTCTTCATTTTTGGGCATGTGATCCATCAAAAGATTTATTTTTGCATATGCAAATTCAACTATCCTAATATCATTTATTAAATTCACGCTTCCCACTTCTCATGTAAATTTCTCTCCATCTACCTCTTTCTTTCCACAATACACACATACATATCCGAGTAAAATAGCTTAGTCTAATTCCATTGGTCAACCTGCTTATCCCTCAGTCATACAGACAATTATGAAACTGATAAGAATTAAATGCTCTGAAAGCACTCCTCCATTTTTCTTTTAGAACTGTCCCAACTACCAATGGGCAATTTTACTATCTTAAGAATTCTGTAATCAATTCATTAAATTCCACCAGAAAAAAAGTTAGGATTTCTAACTAGATTTTACTATATAGATTTGAAAATACATATCTTTAAGATAAATAAATTATTATCAGTTTTCAAATGTATAGCTCTAAAGCTGTTTGTTGCATTTTCCATGATTTTTTAAATACAGTATTTCAAATTTGGCCCTTGATTTCACTTACTTACAGTGTGTCACCTATTCTAAGACATTTCTTAAAAAGTATTTTAAGGTTTTTTTGAAACCCGATGTGTCTCATTAATGCCATAAGCTAGGCAGCAGTAAGCCACAGGTGTTCCTGTCTAACCACTGTTGGGTGAGCTCTGAGCAGCCCTCAATGTTCCCACTGAGTGTGCCAGAGTGCAAGGGTTATCTATCTCCTCTGGCTGAGCAGTTTCTGCAGTAACATATGCAACTGAGGAGGTCAAGGGTAGAGGACTGCCTTGTCTGCTTCTTGCTCAAGAATTGTGGGGACCTTGGCCCTGGGCTCCTCTTCTGAAATCCAGCCCACCAAGAGCAGGTGTTGTCTGGCCTCTGCATTACCCTGTGCACACCAGGGCTCAGGGCATCAGTGCAAGTATGCTAACACTCTGCTACTATTTTTGCTGTAAATAATAAAGCATGGCTTCTGATTCAGAAGTCCTAGGTCTTCTGCCATCATCCATGAAACTGTGGTGGCAAGCTAGCTTATCTTACAAGATAAAAATCTTAGGCGCTTCACATTTCTTGACAACAATGTGCACAAAAACTTGAAATGGCCTGGGAAGAAATTCTAGAGGAGAATAGTAAGTCACTCTTTTAAAAATGCTGCATCATCGAACATTCCTGGTAGTATAGATTGCTGTATGTTGTGAAAAACATGACTAAAAACTGATACTGAACTCTGCGAAAAAGTCTTAGGCATTCACTAATTAATTTCACTTACATTTTTCTTTTAATGTATACCATGGGATACAATGAAATGACAGGACGAAATAAGTTTAGAAAAAGCCTATTCATATTATTCATATACAAATAAAAACTCTGTGAACTGCAAGTTCTCTGTCAATTAATCTGCTTTTTTGTTTTGTGTATTTTATGTATCACCAAGTTGGTGATACATAAAATAATTACAATCAAGTTTAGTTCTACTTGTTTTTTCTTAATCAGTTTTACAAAGTTTGTCTCATTTGTAAATTTTCACAGAAACTTCCTTCATTTTAGTTAATCATCAATATAGTCGTCCTCCTCTTATCTACAAGCGATATGTTCCAAGACCTGCAGTGGATGCTTGAAGCCATGGACAGTACCAAACACTATATACACTACGTTTTTTCCTATAAACACATGCCTATGATAAAGATTAACTTATAAATGAAGCACAGTAAGAGATGAACAACAATAAAATAGAGTATAACAATATACTGTAATGAAAGTTGTGTGAATGTGATCTCTCGAAGCATCTTGTACTGTACCACAGGTAACTGAAACCATGAAAAGCAAAACTGTGGATAAGGAAGGACTACTATATAATTTTCAATACATTTTCTATTTATTAATTTTTCCTCTTTGCTTTTAATCTACTCTACTGTTCTTTCCAGATGCTTAAGTTAAAACATACATCCTTTATGGCCAACTCTTAGTTTTTAATTTCCAGCTCGATTCCACTATGATTAAAGAATATACTGTGAATAATTTCAGATGTCTGAAATTTCCTGAAGCTTTATGGACCAGCACGTGGTCAACTGGACAATATGTACCATGTACACTTTAAAATAATGTAAATAGTGTCATTGTTGGATGCAATGTTCTTTTTGATAATTAGATAATTAAATGAAGTATGCTACTTGTGTAGTTCAGACCATCTCTATTCTTACTGAGTTTTTGTCTCTTTATCAGTTATTAGGAGTTGTGTGAACAGTATGACTGTGGACTTCTGAGCTTCTACTTTTAGTTCTGGTAGTTTTTGCTTTATATATTTTCAAGCTATGTTACTTGATACACAGAGACTTAGGATCATGATCTCTTCTTGCTGGAATGACCTTTTTATATACTTTAGAACTTTCTATATTAAAAAATAAGAAAGTCTTCTTCTTTTCCATTCTGTATGCCTTTTATTTTGTTTTACTGCTTTATTGCACTTGCTAGGACCTTTAGTACAAATTGGAATAGACAGGGTAAAATCAAACATCTTCGGCTTGTTTGTGACCTTAGGAGGAACACACTGAGAATTTTACTGCTGAGTATATTACTATGTCTTTTCATAAGGCGAATTTATCAAACTGAGGAAGTTTCCTTCTAAGTTTGCTGGGAAGCTTTATCATTTTTGTGTATTGAATTTTGTCAAATACTTCTGTTGCTCCTAGATATAATTATACAGTTTTACACCTTTATTCTATTGTTATGATTAACTGCACTGATTAGTTTCAAGATGTTAAAACTAAACTTGCATTCTCAAAATATACCTCTCTTGGTAATGCAGTATCTTCTTTTTTTATCGTTAATTTAATTTGCTCAAATTTTGTTTAAAATGTTTACATCTATATCCATGAAGAATACTGATTCTTTGTTTTGCTGTTATCTTTGTTGAATTTTAGTATCACAGTAACAATGGTAGTTACCAATTTGTTATAATAAAATGAGTTAAGAAGTATTCTCATTTTTTTTTCTTAATGGAAGACTTTACATAAGATTCACAATATTTCTTTCTTGAAGTTTGATAAAATTTATTAGTGTGGCCATTTAGGCTTCACATTGTCTTGGTGGAATAATTTTTAATTGCAAATTCAGCTTCTCTAATCAATATAGGGATACTAAAATTTTCTATTGCTCCTGGGTAATAATTTGTGTTTTCCAAAGAATTTATTTTTTTCAACTAAGTTGTCTAATTTACTGGCTTAAAGCTGTTTATGATATTCTCTTAAAAGGCCTTTTAATGTCCATATGATCGACAGTGATGTCTCCTATTTTATTAAATATACTGGTAATTAGTGTCTTCTCTCTTATTCTGGATTAGTCTAATTAGAGCTTTATCTTAACTAACTTTTCCAAGAACTCTTTTTAGTTTCATTATTTTTCTCTAGTTGTCCGTATTCTATTTCAAGAATTTATTATTATTTCCTTTTTTTACATTACCTTGGGTTTACCTTGCTGTTTTCTTTAAATGTTTAATTAGGTAGGAAATTAGATAATTGTAGTTTTATTCCAACATAATTAAATATATAAATTTCCTCCAAACACTGCTTTAGCTTCATCTCATAAATTGTTATCTTGCATTTCCACAATCACTCGGTCCAAAATATTTTCTGATTTCCCTTTGACATCTCTTGACCAACTGATTACAAAAAAGTGTGTCACTTTCCAAATACTTGAAATTTAATTCCACTGCGGTCAAAATTCATACTCTATATAATCTTAATCCTTTGTACCTTATGGCCCAGCATGTACAAAGCCCAGCATGCTCTGTTTTGGTGAATGTACCATATGCATGTGAAAAGAATGAGAATTCTCTAGCTGTAAGATATAACGTTTAATAAACATCAATATGATCAAGAATGGCTAATAATAAATTTCAAATCTTCTGAGTAATTTTTTTTTATTAGTTGCTGAAAGAGTTACATTAAAATCTCAATCTGATTGTGGAACTATTTCTGCCTTTAGTCAGTTTTCATGTATTAAGTCATTCTGCATTAAATAAATATACACTTATGATTGATATGTCCTCCTGATGAACTTTTGTTACTATGAAGAATCCACATTACCTGATACAAAATTTTTCTGTTGCAATCTATTTTACCTGATATTAATATAGTCACTTCAATCTTTTACTGTTTTCTTAAAATATGCTTTTCAATCTATTTATTTTCAACTTACCTGTGTCTAGTATTTCTCTGTAAACTGTACATTTATTTTTTTGAGATAAGTCTGGCTCTGTCACCCAGGCTGGAGTGCAGTGGCACAATCTTGGCTCACTGCAACCCACACCTCCCGAGTTGAAGCAATTCTCCTGCCTCAGCCTCCCAAGTAGCTGGGGTTATAGGGATGCGCCACCATGCCTGGATAATTTTTGTATTTTTTAAGTAGAGGCAGGGTTTCACTAAGTTGGCCAGGCTGGTCTCAAACTCCTGACCTCAAGTGATCCACCTGCCTCGGCCTCCCAAAGTGTTGGGATTATGGGCATGAGCCACTGCACTTGGCTTGCTTTTTAGTTTACTTATTATTATTATTATTATTATTATTATTATTATTATTATTATTTTGAGATAGAGTCTTGCTCTGCTGCCCAGGCTGGAGTGCAGTGGCACGATCTTGGCTCACTGCAACCTCCACCTCCCAGGTTCAAGCGATTCTCCTGCCTCAGCCTCCTGAGTAGCTGGCATTACAAATGCGCATCACCACATCCAGCTAATTTTTTGTATTTTTAGTAGACATGGGGTTTCAACATATTGCCCAGACTGGTTTCAAACTCCTGAGCTCAGGGCAATTGGCCCATCTTGGCCTCCAAAAGTGCTAGGATTACAGGCCTGAGCCACCACAGCCAGCCTTGCTTTTAATTTTTAATCCATGATGACAATCTGACAATCTCTTTCATTCAATTGAAGTGGTTCTTCCATTTCTATTTAATGGAATTTTTGAATGATTAGGTGTTTATCTACCATTTTTACTACTGTTTTTCTATTTGTAGCCTCTGTATTTTGTTCCTTAGCTTCCCTTCCGGACTTTGAACAATATATCTATATATACATTATTTCAATATATTTTATAATTCCATTTCAGTTTTTAAGTTATACTTAAAGGCTCTTTACATATACCTTTTGGCATTGCTTTTTCAGTTATTGCTATAGGGGATACAATACAAATCTTTAACTTTTCAAGGCCTACTTACAATCAATATTATACTGTTTCACATAATATGTAGAAACCTGTAACCACATACGTCCACGTGTACACATACAAGAATCAAAAACTCCACAGGACAATACTATTCCCCCCCCCCTTTATTAAATGGTCATATGTAATATAAAGAAATTAAGAAGGGGGAAGGAGCAAAAAAAATGGTTATTTTCCTCTTTATGAAGGTATTTACCAGTATCAGGGTAAAAATTTCTATGTAATCAACTTTCCATCTGCTCTCATTTCTCTTTAGCCTGTAAAATTCCCTTTAGCATTACCTGGTGTGCTTATCTGCTGGCAATTAGTTCTGTCTGTTATCTTTCATTTCAAAATGGCTTTCTTTCACCTTTATTTTTAAGATATTTTCACTGGTTATAGAATTCAGGGTTGGCAATTTCTTACTTTTACCATTGATTGATTGACTGACTGATTGACTGACTGACTGAGACGGAGTCTCACTCTGTCACCCAGGCTGGAGTGCAGTGGCACAATCTTGGCTCACTGCAACTCCGCCTCCCGGATTCAAGTGATTCTCGTGGCTCAGCCTCCTGAGAAGCTAGGATTACAGCCACCTGCCACCACGTCCAGCTAATTTTTCAATTTTTAGTAGAGTTGGGGTTTCTCCATGTTGGCCAGGCTGGTCTCGAACTCCTGACCTCAGGTGACTCACCCACCTCAGCCTCCCAAAGTGCTGGGATTACAAGTGTGAGCCACCGTGCCCGGCCAGTAAAATATCTTTAAAAAGGTAAAAGTGCCCAAGCACGGTGGCTCATGCCTGTAATCCTAGCACTCTGGGAGGCCGACGTGGGTGTATCACCTGAGGTCAGGAGTTTGAGACCAGCCTGGGCAACATGGTGAAACCCCATCTCTACTAAAATACAAAAATTAGCTGGGTGTGGTAGCACATACCTGTAATCCCAGCTACTTGGGAGGCTGAGGCAGGGGAATTGCTTGAGCTCAGGAGGTGGAGCTTGCAGTAAGCCAAGATTGCACCACTGCACTCCAGCCTGGGCAACAAGAGTGAAACGCCATCATAAAAAAAAAAAAAAGAAAGAAAGAAAGAAAGAAAGAAAGAAAAGAAAAAGAAAAAAAGATATTTTACTCTCTTCTGGCTCTCTACCATGTTCTGATAAGAAGTGAGCAATTAATCATATCATTGTTCCCCTATATATGGTGTGTAATTTTTTCTTGCTGCTTTCATGATTGGTTCTTTATAATCTTCGGCTTTTCACAGTTTTACCCTCTGATGTAACTCAGTGTAGTCTTCCTTGTGTTCATTCTACTTGCTGTTTCTTAAGCATCTTGAATTTGCATATTTATGTCTTTCATCAAATTTGTGAGATTTTTCTGCCATTAGTTCTTCAAGTATTTTTTTTCAGTCTTATTTACCCTCTTTTTCTAAGACTCCAATTATACATATGTCAGACCACTTCACAGGCCATTCCTACCTCTCAATTTTTTTTCTCTTTGTTCTTTACAATGGAACATTTCTATTGCTCTTTCTTCAAATTCACATACTCTTTCCTCAACAGTTATGTCATCTAGTGAATTTTTTATTTCAGATATTCTATTTTTCAGTTTTAAATTTTCCATTGGTTCCTTTTTTTGCTTCTATTTCTCTGTAAGAACTGTCTTTCTGTATTTTGTCCTTATGAGACTAGTTAACAGCTATTTAAAAAAACAAAAACAAAAAATCTGTCTCTTAGTTCCAAAATGTAATGGTTGGTATCAGCTGATTTTCTTTTGAGAGTATGATTTACTTTCAGAGCTTAATTTTAAACTGTATCCTGATTCTAGATTATTTTGACGAATTTTTTTCTTTTGTTTCTGGTTCTGGTTTTGTTTTCGTTTTGTTTTGTAGTAGGCAATATCTTGATTCAATTGAGGGCTGCACACTTTGTTTCTCAGGTGCCAACTATGGTCTTAGTTCACATCTTTAGATGAGATGCTTATGTCTACTCTGCACATATAATCCTGGGGTCAGCTACAATTTGGGGATTCCCGTTCTCTTTTCTTTCCCTTCTTTTTATCTTTCTCCATCAGCAGAGATTTCTCTGGGTTGGAATGAGTGCCACCTAATGTGCTTTGCCTCAGGCTAAAAGCCAGGAAAACTAGTATTCAGTGTACTAACTTCCTTCCTTCAAGGACCAACTCTATTTCAGACTCTGCTTACACTCATCCTACAGAGTTCCTTGGAGTAGCTGGTTTTTATCGTGCATATTTTAGAGTTGCTTATTGCAGGGGATTAAGTATGACAGAAATTTACTCATTCATTACCGGAAACAGAAACCCTCAAGTTCTTATTTTGGCAGTTCAAAGCCCATTCTTCCATAGAAATATCAATAATCCAGTATTCAGGCCATTTGGCAGCTTGGCCCTAGTTCTAGTTACAGTATTATCTCCAGTCCTCCTGCAACCAGAAACATTTCCTTGGTGACAGGCATAACTTTTAGGCTGTATTCACAGGTGATACAGCACACCCAAAGCATCGTTTACTCTTGTGAGACTGGCTTCAATGCCCATTACTCATGTTCAAAGTCAATTTCCTAGCCATTTTTCCTTTAATCATCGCAGAATCAAGTTGGTCTTCTAGTTCAGTCCTTGCTTACAGCTATGTGCTTGTGGCCACAGGATTACTATACACAAACATGTTAATCAAAGTTGCCATTGGTGGGTGAGAGTGAGGGATGGGAGGAATGAAGTGGGTAATATAATCTTAAAACACAACACTGAAAGGGGTGTACTTATGTATGAAAATAGTATTAATAAATTCAATAGGAGATATTAAAAATTCTAGCAATTAACTCAAATATACAATACTAAGGGTCATGGTAAGCATTCCTAAGTGTCTACAATGTGCCAGGCACTATGCACATTATAGTGGTTAAGATAAGAGTTACAACTCTTAAAGAACTCTGTAATCCACTATAGCAGACTAAGTGCTTAAGTAATGATGTGGCTAAGTTATAGGATCAAAGGAGTAGGAAAGAACTAACTTTTCTGAAAATATTGCCTAAGACTTAGAAAATACATTGAAAAATCTAAATAAAATCCAGAAACCAGGTGCTTGGGAGATTTTCCAGATATCACAAATCATGTGATGTAAAAGGGTATTCTTCTTCATTTGTACAATGCAATTTCCTGTGGTTACAGATGTCCTGTACAAAATACAGAAATATTCTTAATCATAAAACTCCCATACATGGATTTTACTGACTGATCTTGTTCCCTTATCATAATTTTAACAACCACTTTTATAGTGCATTCATTATTCAACAGACCAACAACTGAAATGTCAATTCAATTGGGAAAATCTCACAAGAATAATGAAAATCTCTCTGATACCTCTATTAGCTCTCACACTGCTACAAAGGTACCACCTGAGACTGGGTAATTTATAAACAAAAGTAGTTTAATTGACTCACAGTTCTGCATGGCTGGAGAGGCCTCAGAAACCTTAAAATCATGGTGGAAGGGGAAAAGAGCACCTTCTTCACAAGGTGATGGAGGCGGGCGGGGTGGGAACACATCTGCCAAACACTTTTTAAACCACCAGATCTCATGAGAACTCACTCACTATCACGAGAACAGCATGGGGAAAACCACCCCTATGATCCAATCACCTCCCACCAGGTCCCTCCCTCAACACATGGGAATTACAATTCAAGAAGAGATTTGGGTGGAGACACAGAGCCAATCCATGTAATTCCGCCCCTGACCCCTCCAAAATTTCATGTCCTTTTCACATTTCATAACCATCCATAAGATCCCACTAGTTACTTCCCCAAAGTCTTAACTCATTCCAGCATTAACCCAAAAGTCAAAGTCTGAGTCTCATCTGAAAAAAGGAAAATCCCTTCTCCCATGAGCCTGTAGAATCAAAAACAAGTTAGTTATTTCCAAGATAGAATGGGTGTACAGGCATTGGGTAAATGTTCCCATTCCAAATGGGAGAAATTGGCCAAAACAAAGGGGCCACAAGCCCTATGCAAGTCCAAAACCCGGGTAGGCAGTCATTAGATCTTAAAGCTCCAAAATCTCCTTTGACTCCATGTTTCACATCCAGGACACGTTGTTGCAAGGGATGGGCTCCCACAGCACTGGGCAGCACTGTCCCCGTGGCTCTGCAAGGTTCAGTCCCCTCGGCTGCTTTCATGGGCTGACAATGAGTGCCTGCAGCTTTTCTAGGCACATAGTGCAAGCTGTCAGTGGATCTACTTTTCTGGGGTCTGGAGGATGGTGGCCCTCTTCTCATAGCTCCATTAGGCCATGACCCAGTGGGGACTCTGTGTGGGGGTTCCAACCTCACATTTCCCTTCTGCACTGCCGTAGCAGAGGTTCTCCATGAGGGGTCCGCCCCTGCAGCAGACTTCTGCCTGGACATCCAGGCGTTTCCATACTTTCTCTGAAATCTAGGCAAAGATTCTCAAAGCTCAACTCTTGTGTTCTGTGCACCCACAAGCCCAACACCACATGGAAGCTCCCAAGGCTTGGGGCTTGTGTCCTCTGAAGTAACAGCCCAAGCTGTACCTCAGGCCCTTTAAGCTACAGCTAGAGCTGGAGCTGCTGGAATGCCGGACACCCATTTTTTCCTCAAAATATTAGGAAACATGGTTTTCAGAAGGCAAAGAAGTGTAAGCAGTGTTTTTAAAATGGGTTTAATAGTATGCTTGGATTCAGAGCTAATAAACATTTTTAAAAAGAAGAGGAGCAAGTCCCACCCAGATGAACCAGGTAAAAGAAAGAAAGAAAAAGCATCCAAATAGCAAAAGAAGTCAAACTATCTCTCTTTGCTAACAATATGATTTGATACCTAGAGAACACTAAAGACTGCCAAAAGGCTCCTGGAACTGATAAATGACTTCACAGTAAAGTTTCAGGATCAAAACCAATGTACAAAAATCAGTTGCATTCCTGTAACATTCAAGCTGACAGCCAATGCATCCCATTTACGACAGCCAAACTCACACCCTCAAAACCTAGAAATACATCCAGCCAAGAAGTTAAAAGATCTCTGTAAGGAGAACTACAAAACAAAACACTGCTAAAAGAAACCAGAGATGACACAAACAAATGAAAAAACATCCCACGCTCATGGATTGGAAAAATCAGTATCATTAAAATGACAATACTGCCCAAAGTAATCTACAGATTGAACGCTATTTCTATCAAACTACCAACATCACTTATCACAGAATTAGAAAAAACTATTTTAAAATTCACATGTAACCAAAAAAGAGCCCAAATAGGAAAAGCAATCCTAAGCAAAAGGAACAAACCTAGAGGTATCACATTACCCAACTTCAAACTATAATACAAGGCTACAGTAACCAAAACATTATGGTACTGGTATAAAAACAGACATAAAGACCAATGGAACAGAATAGAGAACCAGAACATCTACAGCCATCTGAATTTTGACAGAAATAAGCAATGGGGAACAGATCCCCCATTCAATAAATGGTGCTGGGAGAGCTGGCTAGCCACACACAGAAGAATAAAATTAGACCCACAAATTTCACAATATACAAAAATTAACCGCTGGGGGTGGGGGCTCACACCTGTAATCCTAGCACTTTGGGAGGCAGAGGCAGGCAGACTGCCTGAGCTCACGAGTTCGAGACCAGCTTGGGCAACACTGAAAAACCCCATCTCTACTAAAATACAAAAAAAAATTAGCCCGGTGTGGTGGTGGGCGCCTGTAGTCCCAGGTACTCAGGAGGCTGAGCCAGGAGACTTGCTTGAACCCAGGAGGCGGAAGTTGCAGTGAGCCAAGATCGAGCCACTGCACTCCAGCCTGAGTGACAGAGCAAGACTCTGTCTCCAAAAAATAACAGTTTAAAAAAAACCTCAAAACAGATTAAAGATTAAAATGTAAGACCTCAAACTGTAAGAATCCTAGAAGAAAACCTAGGAACCATCATTCTGGACATCAGCCTTGGGAAAGAATTTATAACTAAACCCTCAAAAGCAAATGCAACAAAAACAAAAATTGACAAGTGGGACTTAATTAAACTAAAGAGTTTCCGCACAGCAAAAGAAACTATCAGGACAGTAAACAGACAACCTACAGAGTGGGAGAAAATATTCACAGGCTACGCATCCAACAAGGGTCTAATATCTGGAATCTATAAGGAACTTAAACAATTCAACAAGCAAAAAAACGACTCCATTAAAAAGTGGGCCAAAGCAATGGGGAAAAGACCCCCTATATTCAATCAATGGTGCTGGGAGAGCTGGCTAGCCACATGCAGAAGAATGAAATTAGACCCACATCTTTCACTATATACAAAAATTAGCAGCTGGGCGCAGTGGCTCACGCCTGTAATCCTAGCACTTTGGGAGGCAGAGGCAGGTGGATTGCCTGAGCTCATGAGTTTGAGACCAGCCTCATCTCATTTCTTTTGAGAAGTGTCTTCTCAAAAAAAAAAAAAAAAAAAAAAATACAAGGGGCCAACAAACATGAAAAGATGCTCAACATTACTATCATCAGAGAAATGCAAATAAAAACCACAATTAGATACCATCTCACACAAGTCAGAATGGCTACTACGAAAAAGGCAAAAAAACATAGATGCTGTTGAGGCTAAGAGGAAAAGAGAACATTTATATACTGTTGGTGGGAATGTAAATTAGTTCAGCCACTGTGGAAAAGAATTTGGAGATTTCTCAAAGAACTCAGAACTACCACTTGACCCAGCAATCCTATTACTGGGTATACATCCGAAAGAAAACAACCACTCTACCAAAAAGACACATGCAACTTGCATGTTCATCACAGCACTACTGACAACAGCAAAGACATGGAACCACCAAGGTGACCATCAACAGTAAAGTGGATGAAGAAAATGCAGCAAATACATACCATGGAATACCACCAAATAAACAGTTGTGGAAATTAGTGAGTTCATGTATAAAATAAGTTCAAAATGATAATATAAATTTCAAGTTTGCCATAAATACAATCACTATTTTTCTCTTAGATTCAACCTACAATGGAGCCCCTTTATGAAGCACAAAAATTTTAGGTGGGGGGCAGGGGGATAAACATTCACTTTATCTTAATTTTGGTCCAGGTTGAACTTGCTCTCTCAGAGTTTAAATCATCGAGAAGTGCTTACTGACTCAACATTAGGTTCAAATGGGTTAACATATAAAAAGCTTTAACTAGTCTACAAGGCTTCTAAATGACATTTAACCAATATTAAGAATATACATATATATATATTTTTGTTTGTTTGTTTGTTTTGTTTTGTTTTGAGACAGGGTCTCACTGTTTAACCCAGGTTGGAGTGCAGTGGTGCAATCTCAGCTCATTGCTATCTCCACCTCCCCAGCTCAAGTGATCCTCCCACCTCAGCCTCCCAAGTAGTTGGGAACACAGGCACAGGCCACCATGTCTGGCTAGTTTTTGTATTTTTTGTAGAGATGGGGTTTCGCTGTGTTGCCCAGTCTGGTCTTGAACTCCTGAGCTCAAGCGATCCACCCACCTCAACCTCCCAAAGTGCTGGGATTACAGGTGTGAGGCACCATGCCCGGCAAGAATATAAAATATCTCTTAATAACCTTTTTGTGAGGCAGCAAAAAATAAAATATTTAGTCTATGAAAGCATACAGGACACATAACAAACAGTTTTTTATCCTCAAAGGATTTACCAAAAACAAAGCTGCCAACAAACAGCTGGAAAAAATAAAGTTAATTTTCTTCACCTCATGTCTTCCAAACAGATAAATAAAGGCATTATAGCTGCTTAATACAAGTTTTAATTGAGTGCTGTCACTGGTGGAAAGAAAGTGTAGAACCACTACTTTCTGTATCACATAAAGTACGTAATTAACAGCCATTCTGGCACAATCCCTTATCACCAAAATACACAATGGATGCTAACTTCTCTCAAAGCCAATGCTCAGTTACAACAAAGCTGAGCTGGTGTTTCAGGGTCACATTCATTTCTTTATTACACAAGCATAAATTTACTGCTCAGTCAGACACCTATAATTAAACACAAGAAGACTATAATGCTAATATTCAGGCTAGCTTGCATGGAACGGGGTTCTCCCTCCTCCCCGTAAGATGATTGCCTTTCATTTTAGAGTTTCAAGTAGCTACAGTTCACTTAGTTTTGATTACATAGCAATTAGATATGCAAATGCATAAGATCCAGAAAAATACTTTTCAAACATCAGATTGTGAGCAATCAGGCCCATTCTCTTCTCTTGTATGTACAAGCAGCTCATTAAACAACTATTGTCTAAAAAAATCTCTGCCTCAAATGCTTTGGGTTTTTTTTTTTTAATGTTAAAACATTCAAAACACATCCATAAACGAAATCTCTTTTGGCCACCTAGTGAGCAGTCCATGCCAGTGTTGGGTGGGGAGCACTTTGAGTGGCCAAAGAACACGCCTTAATTCACATTATCCATCTGAGTATTTCACAGCTTGCCATAAAACTTTTAAAAATTTCTTTTAATATATAATTTAAAAGTCATTGTATTAAATGACACCTGTTATTAACAAAATAAAAAATACTGCCAAGTATTACTAAATATTCCAACCATTTGACTGAGAAACTATTTTCATCTTATTTTGTGGGTTTCTATCAGAAGCTACATGTGGGTGTTACTATGGAGAATCACGCATACATTGGAGGGGAGAATTTGTACTTCATAAGTATCAAAAATTGTCAGTTATGTGTGTGGGCGTGGCTTGAAAACCTAATATGGCCACCAAAGTCTTTGCAAAATATGCTCACATATTGCCTCTAGCTTAGCAATTAATTTTACTTTTAGGTTTTACATTCAACTTTCCTTAACTTCGACTCCAACTAATTCATAAAGTATTTGTTGGTTTTTTCTCTATTCTGTAATTTAAGTCTTATTCAGTTGTTTATTTAAATTTCTAAGTGTATGCATTATTTGATGCTCCTCTACGTCAGAAAATAAGAAATTTCCTGTAAAATTCTGTAGGAAGAACATAATTTTTTTAGTAGGCACCAATTATGTCCACATTTCATTGAGGAAATTGGAAATATAAATTAGTCCCTCCTGAAGAAGACAGCCTGGGTAAGGAAACAAAAGCAAACAATAAATATAAACATTACATTGTATATTTAGAGAACAAGTGCTTTGGAAATTCAGCCAAGATTAGCAAATGTTGAAGAATTCTAACAGCATGGAAATAAAATGAATCTGAAGACGATTCCCAGTCCATGCCACCATCTCTTGCCTCAACAACTGCAACAGCCAACTAATGAATCCCCTTCCTTCAACTCTTGCCCAACTCCCTACACACATACATGTCTCTAATTGCTAAAGACAACTCTTGCTAAAAATAAATATCATATCATCCCTCTGCTTAAAACCATCAACTGACTTCCTGGTACTTCCAATAAAATTTTACCAAGCCTATAGAGAAGCATATGAACAGGGACATAAACGTCTTCTCTTCCCACTTTCCACCCTTGCTGACTTTGCTATTCCTTGGACAGTCCCATCACATTCACAACTGAGAGCTTTTGCTCTAACTTCACCCAGAAACATTCAGTCTGCAGACCTCCCCATGTCAACCACCCATCAGAGTCTCTGTTTAGATGTAACTTCCTCAGAGTCCTTCATTGGCCCTCCTAGTTAAAAGCCTTCCACCCAGCCCATACTTACATTGCCTGGCATTATTATAATTTTCATGGCACTTATCCCTATCTGAAATTACCTTTGTTCGTTTAATTGTTTAGCTTCTATCTTCCTAAATTATGCTCCATGAGAGCAAGAACCTCCCAGTTTTGTGTCTAGTCCAGAGTAGGAAATAAAAAATACTTACTAAACTATTTAACAAACTTTGAAAAGTAGAAGAAAGAATAGTCTAGGGGGTGGCGGGTGGGTAGAACATGTGAAAGGAATAAAGATAGCTTGATTTTTTAGAAGGTGAGGACAGGATTGACAACACAGAAGATACTGGAAACATTGTATGAGGGAGACAAAGGACTTGGTTGAATTATTTCCATTAAATGTTAAACTAAACGTACACTGTCAGTGATGCTAACAAAACAAATTCACGTTTTAGCATATATTTAATCAAGCCTAGCACTTAATGTCACAAAGTGTCCTAGTCTTCCTTGCCAACTTGATAAAATGTTCTTCTTTTACATTTAATCATATCATCAAAGGAGAATTCCTCAAAAGTGATGAGTCAATGACTATCTTCATCTCTTTATCGTCAAAAAAACTCACTTGCTGTGTCTAGATTAGCTTTGGTTTATCAGTGGCCTATCTAAATATTACAAATTGGTCCAAGATATGTCATACATGTAGGTAAACACGAATAGAAGTCAAATAAGTTCAATCATCACTATTCCTGAATTATTTTTAATACTGCAAGAGTTTTTCAGCAAAACACGTTGAAACCAGTGTAATTGAGCCCAGATTGAGCATCCTTAATCCAAAAAAACAAAACGCTTCAAAATGACACATTTTGAGCACTGACATGATGCCGCAGTGTAGAACTGCATACCTGTGTCGACACCCTTGCCCTTTGATAGTTCAATATACACAAACTTTGTTTCGTGCACAAAATTTAAAATACTGTATGAAACTACCTTCAGGCTATGTGCACATGAATCAATTTCGTGTTTAGTATTCGGTCTCATCCCCAAGATATCTCATTGTATATATGCAAATATTCCAAAATCCAAAAAAACCCAAAATCTGAAACATTACTGATCCCAAGCATTTCGGATGCTCCATCTGTATAACTAAATTCATATGATATCAAAGGCAATGGAAAAATAAAATGAGCACGCTTAGAGTCTAGTTTTATATTCTAACAGCAGACACACGTACAAACCTGTCAAATATCTAGAATCAGTTTTTAATCATAAAAAATTATTTCTAAAAACTAGTGTAATATTCTTCAAAACAATGTGAGGAAAAAAACAAACTAAGTCTGGGGAATTACTCCAACTTAAAAGGGGAGAGGAGGGAAAGAGGGAGACAGACATAAGAACAAAAGGAAGAAGGGAGGGGCCTGAAAGTGAAGGGGGATGAGGGACACAAACATGGTGGCCAATGCACCAAGAGTCACATATGGTAACATGCTACACATGGCTAAGTGAGGTGAAAGGTGTGTAGGAGAGCTTTGTACTGTTTTTATAATTCTGCAAGTTTAAAATTATCTCAAAACATAAAATTACAAACAGGAATTATTTGTCCAAACTTTTATTTCTTCAAATTTTCTGTATAAAGTTGCTCTGCCTAAACCAACATTGTCCAATAAAACTTTCTTTAACACTGAGAATGGTCTTTATCTGTGCTGTACAATTGTGCAAATTTGTTAAATGACTGAGGGCAGAAAGGAGTTGAGGATACCTTCCACATATACATTTTTTTTTTTTTTTTTTACCACAGCTGCGGTAGGAGCAAACTAATGAAGAACATGAATTAAATCCTATAAGCAAATAAGACTACTGGAGGACAAAAACATCCACTGATTTACATATTTTTCCATAACTTATTTTCTTCAAGGATCATACAAAATTTAGTTCTTATTCTAACAGCAATACAGTAACAGAAATTTTTAAAGTAGTATTTTAATTTTATATCAAAAACTTCATAAGGCCGCAGTATCACTCCTTAACAAATCCCATGATAGCTAGTAACAAAAGTAGATTTAAGAATGACACTAGTGTTTTGTAGAAGTCACAAACACTAAAACAACACCCAAATGTGAAGGTGACTATGTAAGTTTTCATCTCAACCAGAATGTTTTGGAAGTGAATGGAGATGCTATTAGTAATTACAACTAGACAATAAATATAGCTAAAACTATCCTAGGCAAATCAAAACTTAATGCCACTCTTCCAAAAAGCTATACTGAGAAGAAAAATTAAGCATGCTATCAAAATACAAAGGTAATAGGGTTTTAACAAAAACATGGATTTTTTTTTTTTAACAAACAATATCTACTCTTATTTTTTCCTAGGTCATTAGGTAATAAATATAGCACATCTAGATAAAATAGAACTAATTGCCTGAGTAAATTCTTACTTATACAGTAAAAGCAAATTCCTCCAAAGACTAAAACACTGCACCAAAAAATTCTTTAATAAGTTAAAAAAAATTTGCTACTGAATTAAGAATTTCAAATGTGAATTTTTCATTTTTAACATACAGAAAAAAGTAAACTATACAATTATTAAAAGCAATTTTAAAAATTTTAAGTCAATAAAATTGTTTTAAACAGCAAAATAATTGATAAAGAGCGAAATTTCCAATCTTCCCCTAGAGAATGAATTTCCAAAAGAATTTAAGATTTAACTGAACAAATGCTAGAACAAAACTAATGATGGCACAAAATGGCAAATATCTATATAAACTACTGAACAAGGTAAAGGCCTTAAAGCACAACACTAAAGACAGAATCCACAAAACCACAATAAAATATACTTTAAAATATTCAATTAATAATGTCTTTATGCAAAATAATTATAAGCAAAATTAAAAGACAAACTACTCCTTCCTTCAACACATATTTACTGAGTACCAACTACATGGCAGGTATGTACAATTCTATTACTGAGGACAGAACAATGAATAAAAGAGACAATTCTGCTCTCAATGAACATATTCCCTTAAGTGAGGGTGGTAGTAATATATATGTAGAACATGTCAGGGCTGTTGATGGTAAGATGAAAAATACAAGAGAGCAAAAGGGCAAGAAGGTTTACTCTATGGGGGCCAAGTGGTTATGGAAAGTCTCTCTGAAAAGTGAGATTCAACAGGATCTGAAATAAAGGGATAAATCAAGTTTACACATACATAAGGGCAGAGTATTCCAGGCAGAGGGAGTAGCAACACCAAAGCCCTATGATGAGAGCATGTGTATGTTCGAGGAATACACAAAGAGGAGGCAAAGAGTAGAAAACTCTAGGGAGGAGCAAGCTACAAGGCCACGTAGGGCCTTTAGCCACAGTAAAGACCTGACTCTAACTGAATACATTAAAATATGCTAGAAGATTATTCTTTAAATTCACTCTGGTTGCTGAAAAGAGAAAAGGGCGGAAGAATGGAAATAAGGAAATCAGAAGACTACTTAGAGGAAAGGCACAATGTAGTAGTTAAACTCAAGCCAGCCTGGGTTCATATCTTGGGGCCAAGCAACTCACCAGCCACAGAAGGTACTTTACCTCCTCCTTAATGCTTCATTTCCTCATCTATAAAATTAGAACAATAACTGCCTCATAGGGCTTTCAGAGGACTAGATGGGTTAATTCACATGGACTGATAACAATGCCTAAATCAAAGCTCAGTGTGTTGAAGCCCTTAACAATAACATCAACTTATTGTTGTCACCACAACCACTACTATCACCATCTAACCAAGTAAAGATATCAAGCAGTGTAAAAGTCAAGGAGAGAGACTCTAAAATCAGCAAACGAATGGGATATGCAAGAATACATGTAATACTGAAAGAGATCTTAACCTATTAGAAATGTCAGACAATATATTCATTACAATTAAATGTTAACTAACAAATGTAAAGGGAATGATACGAAAATTGGACAAAAGACATTACAATCCTAAATTTGTTAGGAAAGAATATTTACAAAGTTTCAAAGTATTTCTCCTCAGATATGATTTAAAAGGAGAAAAAGTTACCTTTACGGTGACAATACATAACTCACACTACTTTAACCAAATGATCAGTTATCAACATCAAAAATGAGGCAAATTGACATCATCTAACTGCTAATGTGATGGCTGAGAAGGACACAACATCACTTTTTAAAACATTCTTGTGAAAAATGCATGGCCTGAATCTAGTCATGAAGAAAGACACACACAAATTATAAAAGATAATGAAAAGTCTGAGGAACTGTTCCAAATTACACTGTAAGAGACAGGGCAAATAAATGTAATCTGTGATCTGGACTAGATTCTGAATCAGAAAGAACTTACAACTAATGAAAAATTGGAAAATTTGAATTTAGAATGTCCATCAAATAACAATATTGTAATAATATTAAATTTTCAGAATTTGATAAAGTAACTATGTAAAAGAATGTCCTTGGTTATAGGAAATGCACTCTAAGACAGGGATGAAGGATCATAATGTCTGCAAGTTGCTCTCAAATGATTCAGCAAACGGTAATAATTATTTTATATATGTACATACATACAGACACACACGCGCATGCTCACACACACACGCAACTCTCATTATTTGTGGTAAAGTCACCAGGAACACTGAATTAGCCAATACTGCTCCTCAAGGAAATACAGGGTTGGTTCCCACAAACCTCTGGTCACATTTTCATCAACCATCAATACATAATTCAGTTTTATATGTGTTTCTGTTCAAAGACACCTTATTTAGGCCAAGCGCGGTGGCTCATGCCTGTAATCCCAGCACTTTGGGAGGCCGAGGCAGGCAGATCACTTGAGGTCAGGAGTTCGAGACCAGCGTGGCCAACTGGTGAAACCTTGTCTCTACTAAAAACAGAAAAATTAGCCAGGTGTTTTGACACGCTCCTATAATCCCAGATACCTGGGAGGCTGAGGCAAGGGAATCGCCTGAACCCAGGAGGCAGAGGTTAATGTGAGCCAAGATCGCGCCACTGCACTCCAGCCTGGACGACAGAGTGTGACTCTGTCTCAAAAAAAAAATAAATAAATAAATAATAAAAAAAGACACCTTATGATTCTTTAACATTCAACAGCCAACAGCAGTTAACTCATGCCTGAACTAAGCTTCTCTAACATAAGTATTTTCTCCATAAGGCACATCACACACAGTCTTCTTGCTGTTAGGAATCCTAAATCCTAGACACCACCTCAGCACTATGCTTGAGGGACATTTTAAACAGCAAAATCATAATAAACAGTCAAAAAACACAAAAACAACAATAACAACAACAACAACAAAAACAAAAAAAAAACCCAAAACGTGACACTAAGCAGACCATGAAAATAACTTTTTTTAACAGTGTATGAACTGAAGTAAAAAGGTGGTGGTGTGTCATCTTGTTCTATCTCAATATCAAAAAAGAGCATTTGGGTGACTCAGATTTTTATTGCCACTGTGTGCGTGTCTGAATGACCGTGAAAGTGTCGCCAGTAATGATTTGAGGGTTACACATAAGTTTCAGCAAGTAGGTGAACTTCCAAATAAAAAATCAACACTGTGTGTACACACAAATGAACAAAACGTTACTACAGTTGTCCCTTAGTATCCCTGTGGGATTGGTCCCAGGACCGCCTCCCTACCAGTGCTCAAGTCACTGATATAGGAAGGTACAGTATTTGCACAGAACTCAGGCTCATCCTCCATATACTTTAATCACTAGATTACTTAAAATACTGAATACAACGCAAAGACTACGTAAATCATTGTACCATATTTTTTATTTGTATTATTTTCTATTGTTGTATTATTATTTTTTATTATTTTTCCTCCCGAATATTTTTTGATCTGTGGTTGGCTGAATTGGAGGATGTGGGGCCTGCAGTATGGAGGGCCAAGGTATACAGCAAATTTAGGTTGAAGGTATACACAAATTCACTTTGTTAGCCTTGTAATTATTCTGCATGTATAATTTTTTATTTTTTCAAAATGAGGATGAAAAGAAAATACAAAGTGGGGGTTTACAGATGGCAGCAATGTTAGGCAATAAACAAGTGAAACAGATAAGCTTTAACCTTGTTAACCAGAAGTATGTTTGTTGTATTTTTGTCTATATTTTTGTCCCTTTAAAAAAGTGATTTTTTAGAAGATTCGTTACATAAGCATTTTCATTTTCTGAGGGAGCTTACAATTTCAAACAGTGAAGTTGAAAGGCAATTTTGAAATGCATTTTCAACCAACCAATTCTACACATTTATCTTTTTTTGTTGTACTTTTAAGTTAGAGAAGGGTCCAAGGTGGTCTCGAACTCCTAAGCTCAAATGATCCTCCCACCTCAGTGGTGGAATCCCACCTATAGTGCTGGAATTACAAGCATGAGCCATGGAGCCCAGTCACATTTATCTTAATGATAAAGTACAGATATTCTTCACAGCATTTTTATAGTAAAAACAATTATTTTAAAACTTCAACAAACAATATACCTCAGTACACATATGTACAATTAAATGCTACTTATAACCATTAAAAAGTATTGTAGGCTGGGCACGGTGGCTCATGCCTGTAATTCCAGCACTTTGGGAGGCCGAGGCGGTGGATCACCTGAGTTCAGGAGTTCAAGAACAGCCTGACCAACATTAAAACCCCGTCACTATTAGAAATACAAAAAATTAGCTGGGAGTGGTGGCATGCGCCTGTAATCCCAGCTATTCAGGAGGCTGAGGCAGGAGAATCGCTTGAACCCAGGAGGTGAAGGTTGCAGTGGGCCAAGATTGCCCAATGCCCTCCAGCCTGAGTGACAAGAGCAAAACTCCATCTCAAAAAAAAAAAAAAAGTATTGTAGATGACTTTTTAGTACGTAATATACTTAAACAAAATATATCAGGTCACAAATACATAGATCTCAAAATATGTATTAACACATAAGTAACGGCGCTAAATGGGGAAGATTAGATTTTTAAAATACCAGAATTATCTAAATTTTTTCTACACTAAACGTGAAAGGCTTTCATAATTAAGAAAAAATTCATTTTTATGTTATAAAAGATGAGGTTCAGTATTTGCTTTCACTTCTTTTGACTCCTTTTAAAGTACTTACTCGTCTTAAATCTTAAACGTTCTAAACAATGTGCTGTTGTAACACTTGATAATATTACACACCCTGAAGCATCCATATAGGCATCCGTTTACTCACTTGTCTATTATTCAATAATCTCACTACTGAGATAACACAAATTATTATTCAAACATTAATCTTATTAGTTACAAAGATAAAATTACTCCAAATTTTCTTCACATTAGATTTTTTAAGAAAATTTTTTTCTATTTGAAGTGACTAGTCCTCTATATTTAGACTACCTTATACTTATTTTAATTCACCAAAAATCTTAAGTTTTTGCAGACCTTTTTAAAAACATTCTTCACTATCTGCTATAATTTCTATTACTGTTTTTAAAAATAGTTAAACGTAACAATTCACAAAATGAAGAATAATTTCAACAATCTGAGATTCACAATTGTTGTTAAACATTAAACACAGCCCCACAAACTATGTCCTATAACAACCTGTGATTTAAAAACACCAAACTAAAAATTATAGGTATTTAAAATCGAGAGTTAACAATTACATGTTTTAAAATCTAAAGAACAACAAAATAATTTAATAGTGGTCTCTCATAACTGAAGAAATAAACAGAAAACTAAAACTAATAGGATAGAATAGGATGGCTCCCTAGGCTTATGAAACGGCCTAATAATTTGTTGTTAATATATTAGACTGAAAAATTATTTCCAACTAAGGTTAACGGGTTTTGAAAAGATCAATTGCTGCAGCATTAATACACATCAGCAACATTCCACTACTCACTCTGTCAACAGAGAGCTGAATCCTCTAAAAAGAAAATGTTACATAAGACACAACTACAAGATGCTCAAATATTCCTTAACGAAATTGACTGCAATCCAATCAAGACTTAATTTTAAAAGGCTCATTAAGAGCATCTAGTGATAAAATGGACTCTCCCTTTTCACTGAGACTCACGTCTCATTTCATTAGACATGGGCAATTAACTCATCCTGGAGTTATATCTATGGCTGAGTAATGAGATGAAGTTTTACAGGTTAAAGTATTACTTTACTAATAAAAACAAAAGTCTATTCTTATTGGGTCCATCTTTTTACCTCTCAAAGGGTGTCTCACAAATTTTAATAAATGTATTTTCAAATAAATTTTTTATTTCAAGTCTTCCCAATCTTTCTTAACAATGGGCAAAAAGCAGTGACTCCACTCTATAAATGTACTGAGATATTATCAACCCGGAAATAAACATTTAATCTTTATTGCACTGTTTTGTACTCTTCTATCTTAAAACAAAGCTAAGCCATTTGAGTCCTTAATGAACATGTAACCAGAAATCAAACTTAAAAATAATCTAGTCAATAATCTAAAATGAATTTTATTTTATAAACACAGAGCAAAAAAATAAAAAATAAAAAAAAATGAGGGAGTGAGAAGAACAAAAGTAGAGGAGGAGGGACACCAGGGAGCTAGTTTACAATCCTGAAACAAACATACCACGTCACAGTTGGCATTTAAACCAGTGCGGCCGGAAGTGCAGCCTACAAGTACAGAAATCAAGCCTGTTCAGAAACTCTTTGAGCATTCTGACAGGATAATTTTATGTCTCTTGATAAAAGACAGTTTTAAATGGGGTTAAATATATGTCTTTTTAAAACTCCACTTCTCTGGTAACTAATTTTATTGTATTTCACCAAAAGATATAATGGATTGAATTTTTTTAGTGGGTCTCTTACCACAGACAGTTTGAAAAGCACTGAAAAGGATAGCGGGTCTTCTTTTCTCTTTAAAAACAAACCAATCTACCACTTTTGAAGTTGAATTCAACACCATATCACATGACATCTTAACAAAAAAGAGAACTAAGGCTACTAGGCAATAAACTTTTAGCTAGGGCAGAACACCTTTAAGACAAGCACTGTCATTAAATATGTCAAAGTCTCTAAAGTTTAAGAGATTATATTTGTTTTGAATTCAAAGTAGATTAAGATCAGAGGACTGAAGTTTCAAAGATTTTATCCTAACACAAGAAAGAACTTTCTAGGCAGAGTTGTGTGAGACTTGATCATTTGTCTTCTGCCTTTAGTCACTTCCCACTTCTGTCCATCTCTTCCACTACTGTCAAGTTACCTTTCCAAAACAATTAATACATCATATAACTTCTCATCTTTAAAAGAGAAGAGTGTCAATGCACTGCTTTCAAAATGAAATAAATTTGGATATAAGGTTCATGGTCCTTTATCCTCAGACCTCAGCCTTATCTCCAATACCAACACTCCACTGTGCCCCATACCTTCCACTGAGACACACCAAGCATCCACATAGCAACATACCCTGGTTGATTCTATTTCTGATGTCTAGAATACCATTTTACTTATTTGCCTGGTAAACTCCTACTTCAATCTTCTCCAGCTTCCTTTAAAAACCTTCAACCTTCAAAGAACACATTACTTCTTGACTTCCTGCACAATGTATATATCATCTCCGCTGCATCAGTTCACTGTCAATATATCAGTCTTCCAGGGGTGAAAGTTCCTTGAGGGTAAAAAATCACAGGCATTCAAAAACATAACTGCTGCCGCAGATTGTATTAAATTAACTATGGTAGAAGGTAATGAAAACTGACTAACAGTCATTTATAGTACTACTTACTGAAATATCATGGAATTAAGTATCACAAATATGGTTTAGACTCGATGACTTAATAAGGTTCCCTCTAAACCAGGTTATACAAGAGTATACATTTCATTGCCACTTTTCTAAAGCAACTCATCTGTTTTCATAGCGAATTCTACTATTCAATTGGATTCATGAAAGTTGATAAGAATACAATTTGTAAGATTAACCCTCTAACAAACAACCTGTAACAGTTCCTACTCCCTAATCATCTCGTCAAATGGTACCAATAAGGGAGGCTGAAGGAAGAGGGGGAGATATATATGGTTTGATGGAGAGGCAGTAATATAAAATGCGAGAAAAAAACCATTTCTCACAGGGTACACCTTTCTCAACTAAGAATTCCACATGAGAATCAAATTTCAATGCCCAGCCCAAGACATAAAAATTATATGTGGTTAACTTCTCTCCTGTGTAACTATAATGGTTCTCTTGATGAGTCATCTTTAATAAAATGAAATAATTCCTATTTTCTGTGGTTCAGATGAGGAACCCTAGCTGAGAAAAGCTTGTTAAGCTTACAGAAAAATCAAAGCATATTTCCACTTAAAAACATTTAAGAAGTAGTTTCTTAAGCCCAGCCAGAAGTTATTACAATTAGTGTGCCTTAAGACATGTTGTAATGGTACCATTTCAAGTAAGTCTAACCATTATTTATAAACTGCTTCAGTCAGAATATTAAAAAACGCACTACAAACAATAGTTGGGAAACTGAAGGTGGTAACAGTGTTCATAACAGTAATGACTTTTACACACAACACACACACACACACACACACACACACACACAGCATAACTTCTTTGAAAGTGCCTTTAACAGATGCTCAATCTCCTGCACAACAGAGCAAAGTTTTGTGAAGCTGGGGGGAAACTGCTACTCTCATACACTGCTGATGGTAACGCAAACCATCACCCTAAGACGGAGGAATTTAGCACTAACTAATAAAACCACACACGATCCTGCTTCTACAATTCTATTCAAACATAAACTAGCAACTTCAAGAAACACTTTTCAACACAGCACTATACCTTTTTGTAACGGCAAAAAAAAAAAAAACGAATAAAGGCTATTCTTTATACACTCCCATTAAATGACCACAATATACTATTAAGTGAAAATAAATAATAAAGGTATTAAAAAGTGCTGAGAGTATAATAATCTATGAAGAGTGAGAAATTATACACAGATACACACACAAAACTGTTACATAACTGTTTATGTTTAAAAAAAAAAAAAAAAAGAAATGGAAGGATAAACCAAAAACTAAAAATAAAAAATCTACCCAAACAGCAAGGGAGGACTAGGTAAATAAATGGGCCTGAGATGAAAGCCATACTTTATAAAAATTCTCTGCTTTGCATATTTTGCTTTGGAACCATGTAAATATTCTAAGGTAGAAAACAGGAAAATATTTTATGCAATTTCCACAACTAGAAAATCAAGTGCAACAAATGAACCTAACCATGGATCTATATACTAGCACAACTGTTACATAGTAAAAATTATTCCAGCTGCTTTAAGAGATGGTAACTTGTATCTAGTGGATATACCCTCAAAATAGTAAGAGCTCAGTGTAAAATTGTCACCAACTGTATCACTGGTAGTAGTGGTTATAGTTATTCTGAGACTGCTTTGTATTCCTTTTTTGAAATAAAGCAAATGAATCATTATTTTGTGTCACTAGGAACCAGAATTTTCAGTGAGAAAATAAGATACAGATAGAAGATTAAATAAAAACATTATAGTCCTAAATTTAATGAGAATGAGCTTGTGAAAATATTCGTGTGTATTTCACAGCTCTGAAAAGCCTACAATAATGAGAATCACTAGAGCCCAGACTATAATCTCTGCACTATTTCTTTCTCTCTCTCTCTCTTTTTTTTTGTCACTTTTTGTTAACAAAGCTTCCCTAAAAAATTGGCTGATTCCAAGTCTGAGGAAGAATTCTCACAAGAGTGCAGACTGTCATATCACACTACACTAGACGGCAAAGTTACTATTCCCATCTACTAGGATTATGTTGAAAAGATTTAGAAGTCAATGTGAAGAAGTCCCTCCAATGGCCAAACAACTTGAGCGCCAGTTAAAAATAATATCTTCAATGAACGGAAACATATAAAACTGTTTAAATGCATTCGTAGTGATACCCAAAGGCGGGGGGCAGGGAAACACTCATTCTTTCAGTCTGGAGGATTCTTGGGAACCAATTCACTATTTAAAAACTAGCAAATAAAGAATTAAACATTTATTCCGCCTTTCTGATAAAAACTGTATCTAGCTAATATGAATGAAGAAACAGAATATAGCTATTCTGCAACTCCCACTGAAAAAAAGGACCTAGAAAACAATCAACAATGATTGCTAAAATCACAGAGAGGAAATGAGACTTTATGTACTACCATCAAAACACTAGTTATGAAATATTCTTTCAAAAAAGAACAGAAATGAGAAAGAGAAGGTGGGAGAGCTGAATTTAACTAAACCTTTGTCATTACCAATTTACAAGAAATATGGGGAACAGAGATAAATGTTAAACACCACCAAGAAAATGCCACCAGCAAAATCCACAGGAATTCAAGACAAATCACCCAGTGAAGCCAAGAAAGAGAAATGGAGGTTTGGGAAGTGGCTTAAGAGATCTATCAATTACAATGTAGATGACCCTCATTTGTATGCTCATTAAAACAAATTATTTTAAAAGCATATTAATGAGACACCAGAGAAACTATTAACACTGACAACATATTTGAGGATAAATAATTTTCTAGATATTAAAACACAAACACGTTATCATTAGAGTTCTATTTTAGAGATAGCTAATAAAATATTTACAGTTGAAATTATATGTCTGAATTTGATTCTAAAATAATCTGGGAGGCAAAAGGTGAAGTGAGGCAATGGGGAATGAGAGAGTTCCCTCTTGAAAGGAGAGAGGCAATGCTGACCCTGGGTGATGGGTAAATTAGAGTTCACTACACTACTTGTCTTTCCATTGCTTAAAATTTTGCATAATGAAAACGTAAAAAAAAAAAACTATATCCATGCTAGAGCTTGTCAGAGAGCTAAGTATTCAACAAGATCGATAAAACAGGCTGTTTGGAACCCTACTTGTACTTGATGTCATGCCACCAATTGCCAAAGCCACTCTGGTGTATCAATCACAAGACTGAATTAATTTCTCTCTTTCAAAGTGTTGACACAGCAGTAACATATTTCATAAGAATAAAATCTTGTAAGTTCCCCCACCCAAAAATTCAAGGAAATTTATTTTTGCATATCACTATGAATGCTGCCTTGAAATGTCCTTTAAGTGTACTTTCCTATCACCTATCACAGTCTTAGGCATAAAGCTCTACTATTCGGTGAACTGACATAGGACAGGATACAGAGTTGCAGGAAAAAAATGTTGATTATAAAGCAGCAAATATAATATGATCCACTTAATATACCATACGTGTACATATGCATAACTGCATGAAGAACAATCTACAAGACATACCAAACTATAAACAAGGGTAGTGTCTAAACTAATGGAATGTCAGGAGCCTTTAATTTTCTTGAGACCCTCTAGGACTTTCTCACTTTTCTAAAAATATAACATATTGACCAATTAAAATATATTTTAAGCATAACAAATAGAGCTAAGAAATCTCTGCTATAAGAGATACTTAACAATTTGTAATGTATATGAAAAGCATCACGTAAAAGAAGTTATTAAATGCTCTACCTAAACAAGTCCTGCAAAACAAAATTCAAGAATTCCACCTATGTCTGCAATTATACAATATGACTCTAATAACATTTCGTAAGTCATGTTCCACAAAACACTGTAGTTCTTCAAGGAGTTATAGGGACATCTTCAAAAAAGGGGAGACTATGGCCAAATACATTTGGGAAACAAATATTAAGTTAAAAACTATTACCAATTTATTTCAAAGCCCACATTCTGACAAGAATGATTTGTACAACTGAATTTGAATATCCAGTGAGAGATGGAAGTTTCTATATTGTGTACTCTTCAGGTAGAAATGAGCAACTGGGTGGGTTACTACACTTCTTTAAGCCTCCATTTCCGTTGGAAGAGTGTAACTCTTTTCCAAGGTTGTCCCATGGTCTGAACATGATGCAGCACAGATAGTAAAAGTGGCTGATACCATCTAGCCCAAGCTTGTCCAACCCCCGGTCCATAGGCCGCATGCGGCCCAGGAAGGCTTTGAATGTGGCCCCACACAAATTCATAAACTTTCTTAAAACATGAGGTTTTTGTTTGTTTGTTTGTTTTTAGCTCATCAGCTATTGTTAGTGTATTTTATGTGTGGCCCATGACAATTTGTCATCTTCCAATGTGGTCCAGGGAAGCCAAAAGATTGGACACCCCTGCTCTAGCCACTGTTATTAGCAGCCCTGGAATGGCTAGAAGAAGAATGCACATCCCTTCATTTTGAGCAAAGAACTTGAACTGGAATTGCTAAGTCTTTGCACATTTCCAGATGATGCAACATCTGACTGACATGGCTTTGATAAACTGCATACATTTCACCCATCAACACAATGGGAGAGAAGGAAGGACAGAAAAAGGAGGTGAGAAGGAGGAACCCACAAGCATGGCTACTTATTCTCCTCTTGTTTATGAGAAGGGAGACCTCAGAAGAGCTGACAAATTGCAGACGGATAAGACAAAACCACAAATGGTGTCCCCTACAATGACCATGCATATATATACCCAAAGGGTGAACTTCAATGTACTACTTGTCACTCCACAACAATTTGCCAAGTACCTAATTACGTGCAAAACACTGTTCTGTTTTAATGGCTTACATGTTCTCATTTGCTACATTAGAACCAGCTGACTCCCACCTGTTTCTAAAGGTGGACCATGCCTCCTAGCATGAATACATTTCTTTCACAGCCCTGGATACGGCCTCTGCAACCTCAAGTGAAACACCATAATTACTTTCTTTTCCTAAAATTCATCCTCTAGTCTACACCATACCATACTGAATGCACCCGATCTCATCTAAAATTACTCCTCTAGCATTTGTAATCTGCTCAAGTATATAGATTTCCATTAAGTACATGGGATTAAATCCTCTAGGGAGAATTCCTGAAAAATCAAAGGAATGATAGTATGATATTGTGATTTATGATGAAATAAATATATTTGGTCTTTGTTTCCTGGCACAAATCTCCTAAAACCCCTGAATCTCCCAAGTAATACAGGCATACCTCCTTTTATTGTACTTCACATATACTGCATTTTTCCAAATTGAAGGCTTATGGCAACCCTGCATCAAACAAATCTTGTGGCACCATTTTTCCAACACCATGTGCTCAATTCGTGTCTCCAAGCCACATTTTGGTAATTCTCACAATATTTCAAACTTTTACATTACTATTATTATTATGTCTGCCATAGTGACCTGTAGATAGTAATCTTTGAAATTACTACTGTAATTGTTCTGGGGCACACCAAACCATGCCCATATAAGACAGTGAACTTAAGTGACAAGTACTGTGTGTGTCTGGACTGCTAATGGAAGAAGATTACATCTAAAACTTTCATAGCTAGAGAGAAGTCAATGCCTGGCTTCAAACCTTCCAAAGACAGGCTGATTCTCTTGTTAGGGGCTAATGCAACTGGTGACTTTATGTTGAAGCAAATGCTGATTGACCATTCCAAAAATACTAGGGCCCTTAAAAATTATGCTAAATGGGACAGGTGCAGTGGCTCACACCTGTAATCCTAGCACTTTGGAAGGCCAAGGTGGGCAGATCACTTGAGGCCAGGAGTTCGAGACTAGCCTGGCCAACACGGCAAAACCGCATCTCTACTAAAAATACAAAAAATTAGCTGGGTGTGGTGGTGCATGCCTCTAACCCCAGCTACTCAGCAGGCTGAGGCATGACTGCTCGAACCCAGAAGGCGGAGGTTGCAGTGACCTGAGATTGCACCACTACACACCAGCCTGGGCGGTAGAGTGAGACTCTGTCTTAAAAAGAAAAAAAAAAAAAAAGGCTAATGTACCCTGCCTGTGCTCTACAATTGGAACAACAAAGCCTGGATGTCAGCAGAGAAAGGTTTATTGAATATTTTAAGCCTACTGTTGAGACATATTGCTCAGAAAAAGAGATTCCTTTCCAAATATTACTGCTCATTGTCAATCCACCTGGTAACCCAAAATCTCTGGTAGAGACGTACAAGGAGATGAATGTTGTTTTCACTCCTGCTAACACAACATTCATTCTGTAACCCATGGATCAAGGAGTAATTTAGACTTTCAAGCCTTATTATTTAAGAAATGTCTTTCATAGGCCTATAGCTGCCACAGACAGTGATTCCTCTGATAAATCTGGGCAAAGTATATTGAAAACCTCCTGGAAAGGAATCACCATTCTCAATGCCATTAAGAACATTCATGATTCATGGAGAGAGGTCAAAATATCAACATTAGCAGGAGTCTGGAAAAAGTTAATTCCAACCCTCAAGGATGACTCTGAGGGGTTTAGGAGTATGATGGAGGAAGAAACTGCAGATGTGGTGGAAAGAGCAAGAGAACTAGAATTAGAAGTGTAGCCTGAAGATGTGACTGAATTGCTGCAACTGCATGATCAAACTTGATCAGGAGTTGCTTCTTATGGATGAGCAGAGAAAGTGATTTCTTGAGATGAAATGTATTTGTAGTGAAGATACAGTGAACACTGTTGAAATGACAAAAAAAAATTTATAATATTACATAAACTTAGTTTATAAAGCAACAGCAAAAGTTCTGTGGGTAAAATGCTATCAAAAAGCACTGCATGCTAGAGACATCTTTGTGAAAGGAAGAGCAAATCCATGAGGCAAACTTCGTTGTTCTTATTTTAAGCAATCGTCACAGTCACCCCAACCATTGGCAACCACCACCCTGATCAGTCAGCAGCCATCAACATGCCATCAACATCCAGGCAAGGCCTTCCACCAGCAAAAGATTAAAACTCTCTGAAGGCTCAGATGATCATTAGCATTTTTCAGCAATAAAGTATTTTTAAACTAAGGTATGTATATTTTTTAGACATAATGCTGTTACAAATTTAATAGACTATAGTATGGTATAAACATAACTTTTATATGCACTAGGAAACTAAAAAAATGTGTGACTAGCTTTATCGCAATGTTCCCTTATTGTGGTGGTCTGGAACCTGTTTGTGTCTTTCTGTATAATGAAGTGACAAATGGGTGGGGGCCCTGGATAGTCTCAAGATCAAGGCTGATTCCAGAGAAACCCTAACCAAGTATACAGAGGGCTGAGACTTTCAGCCTCATTCCCCAACCTCTAAGGAAGGGAGAAAGGCTGAATGTTGAGTCGATCACCAATGGCCAATGATGAACATCAGTCATGCCTACATAATGAAACCTCCACAAAAAAACAGAAGGACGGGGTTTGGAGAGATTCCAAATAGCTGAACACATGGATGCACCTGGAGGGTGGCACACTGGAGAAGGGATGGGAGCTCTGAGCCCCTTCCCACATGTCTTGCCCTATGCATCTTTTCCATCTGCTGTTCGTCGGTATCCTTTGTAATATCCTTTATAATAAATAAGTAAAGTGCTTCCCTGAGTTCTGTGAACTACTCTAGCAAATTAATTGAACCCGACGAGGGACTTGCAAAAAAACACATTTACAGCTGGTCAGTCAAAAGCACAGGTCACCACTGGGGCTTGTAACTGGCATCTGAAGTGGAGACAGTCTTAGGGGACTGAGCCCTCAGCCTGTGGTATGTGACATTATTCCCAGTTTTGAACTGAATTAGAGGACATTCAGATGGTGTTTTCTGGAGATTTGTTTGGTTTGTGGGGAGAAACCCTTACAACATCTGGGGTCACAAGTGTACTGGGTGGTGTGTGAAATGGTAGTCAAAGTTTCTAATACTCAATATTCAAGTTGTTCTAGTATGTCTGAAGTTATCACTCTTAGAAATGGTTTATAATTAGAAAATAATGTACCACAGAATAGAACTCAGAATTCAGTTTCTTTTTCTTTTTTCCCCCGAGACAGAGTCTCGTTCTGTCACCCAAGCTGGAGTGCAGTGGCACACAATCATAGCTCACTGTTGCCTCAACTCCTGGGCTCAAGCATCCTCCCTCCTCAGCCTACCTAGCAGCTGGGACTACAGGTGCACGCCACCACACCTGGCTAATTATTTTTTAAGTTTTATTGTAGAGATGGGGGTCTCACTATGTTGACCTTGTTGGTCTTCAACTCCTGGGATCCTCCTGCCTCAGCCTCCCAAAGTGCTGAGATTACAGGTGTGAGCCACTGTGCCCAGCCTAGTTTCAAATTTGACTGCCACATTTTGGCGTGTGACCTTTGGCAAATTACTCAACCTCCCCAAGGCTTTGGTCTCTTCATTTACAAAATAGCTGGTACAGACAAGAAGTTCATAATAGTTTTCAAGCCCTGGTTCCATGATCTTAACTAGTACCATTCCACTGGGTATTTATGCACTAAATCAATGCTGTTGAGCCCATCAATAATGCTGAAATAATAACAATCCAAGAAAATGAAAACTAAAGTGGCATATTAACTTACTTGCTAAAAACCAGCAGCTTAGAATAATATAGTACTAACTTCCCCAAAGCATTAGAAGTACATAGCATTTACAATTTTCTTTATTTAACCAACCTTTTCGGGGAACATGAGGGAAGGTACACCTAAGCCTTTCATTTATTACCTGAACTAGTCACTCCTTTCACAGGTATTTTTTTCAAGTGCCTGCACTCTGTGCCAGGTACTCACCAAACACCAAGGAAATTAATACTCCATAGAATAGCCATGGTAGGCTCTCACTGAGTTTACCAGTGTAGGGAAGGATTCAGACCAGCACACACCATTCCCATCGTAGCATTTTGTGTTAAAAGTAAAACAGGCAATCAGTATATACACACATATAGATATACACATTATATATATACGCACACACATATATATATATACACACATGTCTATATATACATGGACAACTCTGTAGAAAAGTTTAAAGCAAATGGCTTTTCCTCTTGAACTCCTGAAATACATCTCAATGAGCTATCTTTATTACTTACATCAATACTTCTTTTTGTTTCCATCTCTTTTCATGTTCTTTACCAAATGGCCAAGCATTCCATTCTGACTTTACTTTTATTATAAACACTTATAAGAGTGCAACAGTATAATCACACAGTTATAAGCTCTAATGCTCATTGTCTGTGAGGGCTTGAAACAGTAAGCAAGGTTGAGTGGGGGGCCATTACTGCAGAATTCACAGAAACTCAGAAGCAGGGAAAAAGGGGTTTTGTTAACTGGCTGACAGAATAGCCTAACTGATGAATATATACTAATCTTTTCATACAGATTTATATATCTGCCAGTTGTCAAGACTTCATTCATTGTCCATAGGCAATTAAACTAGTATTACTTAATGACCACATAATCCTAAGTCCAAACATGAGAACCAAAACTTCATGGCAACGTTCATTTGAAAAGATTATCACTCAACTGATTCAAAATATGCACATTTTTTTAAGATTCTCATAAAAAAATTTAATACATCTAAAATTGCTCAAGGAGAACTCACAGACTCCCATGAACATATCTTTAAACACAGTTGACAAGGAATACATTATAATAAGATTTTTAAATAATCAATATTATGAGAACTTTTTGCCCAAATTTCTTGGCTACTAAATCATTGATGAGGAGCAAAAATGAATGAGATCCAGTCAGCTTATGTGAGGGCTTAAAAGACATGAGGCGGAGGGCTCAGAAAACAAGTTTATCAGATACCCTGTGGGTTTGGTATTCATTCCGTAAGTTCCACAAAGCGATTCAGCGTACTGGTCTAACACAGCTAACCACGCACTATTCCTAGATAGCCCCTTCAAGTCAATGGAAAGAAAGGAAGGAAGGAAGGAAGAAAGAGAGAGAGAGAGAGAGAAAGAGACAGACAGACAGACAGACAGACCAAACCTTCCTAAAACACTTTTAATCTTTGGCCATCAAAATCTATTTTTTTAAATCCGCCAATTTTTACAAGAATAGAAATTCAAAACTATCCTGCCTCACAGTATTGCTGGGTAAGACAAACTAGGTAAATAAAATCTTCCTAACAATAATATTTAGATAGTTGGGTCTTTACTAATTAAACCAGCAAAAGAAGAAATGGCAGGAGAAAAAAACCCACAGAAACAGAAACAATATACTTTAAAATGTAAAATCAACACAAAATGTTGATGAAACCCAAAGTGTATCTCATATGGCTAGTGATAGCCTTCCTTCTAATAGATTTCTGTCTTCTAACTCTCCCAGTGATCTGACATACATCCAAAGTTATTTGACCATTCTTATTTAAATCTCATCAAAAGAAAAATTTCAGATTTTTCAAAACTTTTATATACTTTTACACACATTACAGTCTGACTAATTTCCAAACTGGCAGCTTCCCAAAAGTAAATGACAAAGGAAGGTAACATGATGAACTGATATTTTAATTTGCTAAGTAAAAAATGATAATTAACAAGGGGAAACCGCCAGGCGTGGTGGCTCACGCCTATAATCCCAGACCTTTGGGAGGCTGAGGTGGGTGGATCACGAGGTCAGGAGTTCGAGACCAGACTGACCAACATGGTGAAACCCCATCTCTACTAAAAATACAAAAATTAGCTGGGCATGGCGGCGTGCGCCTGTAATCCCAGCTACTCAGGAGCCTGAGGCAGGAGAAACACTTGAATGCAGAAAGCGGAGGCTGCAGTGAGCCAAGATTGCACCACTGCACTCCAGCCTGGGTGACATAGCGAGACTCCGTCTCAAAAATAACAAACAAAGAAAAAAGAAAAACAAGGGAAAATCATGACAACACCTTTAAAAAGTTTAAAAGTTCCTGACATGGAACATAGTGGGTTTGTTTGTTCGTTTTTGAGACAGAGCTTTACTCCTGTTGCCCAGGCTGGAGTGCAGTGGCACAATCTGAAATCTCTGCCTCCCGGGTTCAAGCAATTCTCCTGCCTCAGCCTCCTGAGTAGCTGGGATTACAGGCGCCCGCCACCACGCCCAGCTAATTTTTGTATTTTTTTTAGTAAAGACAGGGTTTCACCATGTTGGCTAGGGTGGTCTCAAACTCCTGACCTCAGACGATCCGCCTGCCTCGGCCTCCCAAAGTGCTGGGATTACAGGCGTGAGCCACCGCGCCCGGCCTGGAATATAGTGTTTTAAGCACAAAAAAATCTGGAAATTTTATTATTACGATGTAAAAGTATAGTAAGTTACTCACATAAAGACTTAGTCCATTTTCAAGGACTTACCTTTTTTTTATCCCTCATTGAGCCTTTGCCTCGGACCATGATTTTACATCCGGTTTCTGCTTCAAGTTGTTTGGCTGTAAGTCCTCTAGGTCCAAGGATTCTCCCAACAAAATTAAACTGAGAAAAAAAAAAAAGGATCACTATACATTATTCACTTGCTGGAACTTACAGCTCTTAAAATATAAAGTATATCTACATTTACTTACTGAAGTTAAATGTCTTTTTAATACTAAGTTGAAATAAAATCTAGAGCCCTTATGAATTTCTTGCTAAGTCTCAGGTCTAATTACAATAGCTCATCGTTTAGCATTATATTTTCACAAGTATTAACACAAACTATGAACTGGGAACAGTATACAGCTAGAACAGATACAACTGTCCATCAACAAATAACCTAAAACAGAGAGTATTAAAGAGTTTGACAAAATATTAGATGCCAGCCAAGAATACAAGTCCCTTCCACAAAATGTCCAACTGTCTCTTTGTCATGACAGTGTTGAAGAAATTGTTAGGCACTGCCCTTTCTACCAAAATCCTTTGGGGAAAGTCCTCTTTTATTTACCTAAGAAAAATTATACTTTCTCCAAAGCAACTGTTCAGAAATATGTTACGAAAACTATGGGTTGGCTACACTAAATGTGTCTTAAGAGTACATATTCCTTTCTACCTTTAACTTATAAGAAACCTAAACTCTGAATATCACTAAATAGGCCAGTGATATCAATAATTGTATAAATTAAAAACTGTACAATAAAAAAATAAAAAATTACCATCCCTCAACAGAAATTCCTAATATTCATATATACAAGTTATTTCTTTAAAGCCAATAGGAAAAACGGGCTAAATCGTGAAAAGTAAATTTTCCTCATTTGCATGTTATCTGCATAAAGGCCAAAATATAAGAGTTTGCTATCAGTTCCACAAAATTCCACAGGTGGTTTTCATTTACTTATTCAATCAAATAGGTACTGATTCTTATGCATATGGTCTTCTACTTTTTTCTTGCATTTATCCAACTTTTAGTATATCATTACATAAAAGTAACGTGCTAGAAAATCCACTGCCATCAGGGCTTAAGAAGCTGGGTACTTCTGGTATCATCTGTACTCCACTGGCTCTTATTTTGCATTGTCACACCTTAGAAAAGTGATTCTCAAATGAAAGGTGGTAGGTAGTACGCCTGTATCATTCGAAGAAAGTCTCCGAGGGGATTTTCATACATCTTATTTCACCCTCTGTTGAGACTCACAGACTCATCTATAAGCACTTAATTTAGCTCTTCAAGATCCTAGATTCTGAAATCTGCTAATAGCTCTTTATATTCAGATAAAGTCCCTTATCTTTGCCCAGTGCTTCAGTATATAGTAATTTTACCTCTTTACCCAACCTAAACCCCCACCATGATCCATTTTAACAAAGTACTTCCAATTTAGAAACTCATCAACTTAACCTTCCTACATCTCCAATTTAAATAAACTCAAGTAGTATACTACGGTTATGTGCTTAAACTCTGAGAGCACACAGATTCTAGCTGGTATCCAAGCTCAAATATGAAAACAGTAATCAGGAATCTGAATATTGGCCAGGCGCAGTGGCTCACACCTGTAATCCCAACACTTTGGGAGGCCAAGACGGGGTGGATCACTTGAGGACAGGCGTTCAAGACGAGCCTGGCCAACATGGTGAAACCCCATCTCTACTAAAAATACAAAACTTAGCCAGGCTTGGTGGTGCATGCTTGTAATTCCAGCTACCTGGGTGGCCGAGGCATGAGAATCAGTTGAACCCAGGAGGTGGAGGTTGCCGTGAGCTGAAATCATGCCTCTGCACTACAGCCTGGGCAATAAAGCGAGACTCTGTCTCAAAAAAAAAAAAACAAAACAAAACAAAACAAAAAAAGGAATCTGAAAATCACATCAAATAAGCCTCAATTACAGAATGGGGATAATACTATCTGACAGAGCTATAGTGATGATGGCATGTACAGATATGTATGTGTATAGCACAATACATACACAAGGTCCAGTAAAAAGTTTGCCATACAGTCACAATAGCCTACCAAGTCTAATACAAATCCTTTGCTTAAAACCTCAGGCTCTTACTCTTAATTAAGCTTGGAATGTCATTTCTAGAAGGAGATGTGATCAGCAGCAAACTTGCCCTACAGAACTCCAGAGAGACTGGACACTCACACACTGAGTTTTGCAGAAAACAAGAATGAAAAGGTGGAACTAATACACAGAACAAGCGACCATCACTGCCCACAGAACAGCAAAGGCCAGGCTTCTGACTTGTAGGTAATGGGCTAGTTTTTTCTCTAGAAAAATTGAAATAACCCACGAAAAGAATTCTGTGTTCCATTATATGACTTCCATCTCAAAGACTAGCACTTTAGGGGGTCACCCCAAATTAAGGTTGGCAGCGGACAGCTCTGTTCATGAACACAAGCTCCTAATTCAGATTTTCATTGTTTCACACTTAAACAATGTTCACCAAAGGTTCAAGAAGGGCTCTATCATGAGAGAGACAGGACAAGATAAAGAAGCAGGACAAGAGACTGACCCTTGAGAAAAAAAAGACTACAGGACAAAGAAGATGATTTAAAAAAAAAAAAAAAAACTTTAGTACATAGTGTTAAATTATTTTCTAAAATGGTTGTACATATTTTTATCCTCCGTATAGTATAAAAATTTATTTTGATCCACTTCCTCTCCAATATTTATTATCAGTGTTTTTATATTTTAACCATTCTAGTGTATGTATTAAATGTTTCAATTAGCATTCCTCTGACTACTAATGAAGCTAAGCATTTTTTTCACATTTGTTGGCCATTTGGATATGCATTTTTTGAAGGACATTTGAAGTTTCCTGTGTTTTTCTATTGTGTTACCTTTTCCTTATTGATTTCTACTTTGTGGTTACACAACTGACAAGTATTTTTCCCATCCTGTGGCTCGTCTTCTCCCTCTTTAATGGTGTCTTATGATGACTGAAAGTTTTTAATTTTAACACAGTTCAAATTTTCAACCTTATCTTCATGGTTAGTGTTTTCTGTGTCCTGTTTAAAAGAAGTCTCTCCCCACCCTAAGGTCACCAAGATACCTTCTGGTGTTATCTTCTAGAAGCTTTATTGTTAAGTCTTTCGAATTTACATCTACAGTGTACCAGGAATTGATGTCTGTGTTATAATTTTCTTTTCTTCTCTCACATGAATATCCAAATGTTATTAAATATACGAATGTCACTGAATAGAAATGTTATTGAAAAGACTACTCTTTTCCAATTGCTCCAGTGTCATCACTGTCATAAATATTTATCTACACAATCGTCCCTTGGTATCTGGGGTGGGGGGGATTGGTTACAGGTCCCCACACAAACACCAAAATTCACAGATGCTCAAGTCCCTTATATAAAACGGTGTCATATTTGCACATAACCTATGCACAACCTCCAATATAATTTATATCATCTTTAGATTACTTAAAATACCTAATACAATGTAAATACTGTGTAAATCACTGTTATGCTGCATTGCTTAGGAAATAATGACAAGAAAAAATTTGTATATTTCAGTACAAATGCAACCATTTTAAATATTTCCCCTAAAAGTTTTGATCCTAGGTTGGTTGAATCCACAGATGTGGAACCTGAGGATACAAACAGCTGACAGTACTTAGGTCTGTTTTGGAGCTCTCTAGTCTATTCCATTTATTTATCTTTACTTTAACATCATACTGTATTAATTATGGTAAATTATATGGTACACCAAGTTCTTCTCTCTTGCTCTTCCTCAAGAGTGGCTTAGCTATTCCTGGCCCTTTCCATTTCCACATATTTTAGAATAAGTCCATCAATTTCTAAAATAATACTTGCAAGAATTTTCACTGAGATCACATTATAATATAGACTCTTCAAAAACCATAAACATGGTAAAATTTCTCCATTTGGTTAAGTTATCTCTCATCTCTCTCAATAACGTCAAGTTTATTTTTGTTTAGGCTAAAGTGCAAGTGGCACAATCATAGAGCACTGTAGCCTTGAATTCTTGGCCTCAAGCAATCCTCCCACCTCAGCCTCACCATGCCTGGCTTTTTTTTTTTTTTTTTTTTAACTTTTTTGTAGACATCAGGTCTCACTACGTTGCCCAGGCTGATCTCAAAATTCCTGGACTCAAGCCATCCTCACCCCCACTCCACCCCAGTGCCTAAGCCTCCCAAAGAGCTAGGATTACAGGCTGGAGACACCATGTCTAGCCTCAAAAATGTAGAGCTTTTTTGATTGTGCCTTTACTTGTTTTTACTTTTGTTGTTGTTAAGATTCATTCCTACAAATTTACAGGGCTTTTTCTGCTACCGTATATCATAATTTTAAGTTTTCATTTTCTGTTTCTGGTATATGAACATATAATTGGGTTTTTTTCTATCAACCTTACAACCAGCATTTCTTCATTACTGACTCTCATAAATCTTTTGTAGATTCTTTTGGATGCTAAACAATCACATCACCTGGAAATAATGACAGTTCTCTATTTTCCTTTCCTATCATATATTTTTATTTCTTTTTCTTGCTATCCTTACAGTACTGGTCAGCATACCTTGAGTTCAAAGCCAAATAAAAGTGTGTCATCCTTGACTTGTTCCAAATTTCAAGAATAAAGGTTTCAACAGTCCACCATAAAGTTTAATCTTAAACTTTTTGAAGATACACTTTATCACATTAAAATTCCCTTCTATTTCTTAGTTTGCTAAGAGTTCCCAACTACAAGTGGATATCTAAATTTATCATTTTTCACTATCTATTAAAACAACATTTCTCCTTAATTCTGTTATTGCAGTGGATTTCAACTGCAAATGTTAACCAACTTCAACTTCAAATTTAATTTCAAATTCAATTTCAACTTCAAATGTTAAACCAATTTAATGCAAAATCAACTTGAGCAAATTGTTTCCTGGCATTCTGGTGATTTTTTTTTTTAAGAAATGTCCATTCATAAATAGAACTGGCCCACAATTTTTCTTTCTCATAATACACGTCTCAGGTTTTGGTATCAAGGTTATTCTGGTAGCAAAACATGTTGGAATGTATTCCTCCTTTTTCCACTCTCCAGATAGGCTTGTATATGGCTGTTATTTCTTCCTTAAATAATGAATAAAATTCACTGGTGAAGCTACCTGAGCCTAGAGATTTCACTACAGAAAGTTTTAAATTATGGATTCAGACTTTCTATTCCTTCGTATGTCAATTTTTAAGTTGTATCCATTTTGTCTAAATTTTCAAATTTGTTGATTTAAAATAGATGCCTAATTTATTTTTAATACCAATAAGATCTGAAACGATGTCTCATTTTTTTATTCTTGACTGGTTACCTGTATCTTCCTTTCTCTTGATCTGTCTTCAAAAGTGTTTTAAAAGAACCTGCTTTTGTTGACTGAGGTAGACTGATTTCAAAAATGACCATAATTCTCTGCCCCTCATTGTGTCCATGCCATCTGCAAAGGGAATCTGCATCTCCTCCCACCTCCTGAATCTAGGCTAGCATTGTGACTTGCTTTGGCCAATACAACGTAGTGGTGAGAATGATATGCCTCAGTGTTAGTCTTACGTGGTTCTACTCTCTTAGAGCCCCTTTCCCCCATGTAAACAAGCTTGGACTAAAACTTGTTGGGGAATGAAAGACAGTGACCCAGTCATCATCAATATCTGCAACCACGCAACTCCCAGAAGTAGAACTACCTGACTGACCTTACAGCTGACTGGAAGAAGGACTAAGGAGCTCAACAAGTGGTTTACTTAAGATTTTGGAGTAGTTTATTATAATGTAGAGATAGCTAGCTGATATATTGAATTACTTCATTTTGTGTTTGTCTTTAATTGATTTCTACTCTTCATTTATTTCCTTCCTTCTACTTCCTTCGTTTAATCTGCTGTTCTTTTTCCCTTCCTTCGTTTAATCTGCTGTTCTTTTTCCAATTTTTTGAAATGAATATTTTGCTTATTGTATTCCTTCTTTTCTAACATATACATCTAAAGCTTTACATATACCTCTAAGCTGGTTTTAGTTGTATCCCACAAATTCAGATAGGGAGCAGTTTCATTTTCATTCAAAGTCAAGGTAATTTGACATCTACTAAATATTTAAATATATTATGCTCATTTCAACATATAATTTCCTGTAGTTTTGATTTTTAGCTTCCTACAGTGTAATCAGCAAACATGTTATATGTAATAGCCATCCTTAATATTTGTTCAAACTTGCTTTTCAGCATAGCATATGGTCAATTTTTGTAAATATTCCATAGGTGCTTAAAAAGAATGCAAAGTCTGGTGTGATTAAATTTTACCTGTTTCGCCTTTTACTTCTATTTTTGCTGTATATGTGTAAAGGCAATTACAACCAACCCTTAAACAATAGGTCTGAACTATGTGGGTCTACTTACAGAACATTTTTCCACAAATATTACACCAAGTATGACACCCCTCCCACCTCCATCACCTCCTTCTGCCTCTGCCACCCTTGAGACAGTAAGACCAAACCTGAATCTTCCTCCTCTTCCTCAGCCTACTCCATGTAAAGACCACCAGGATGAAGACCTTTATGATCTACTTCCACTTAATGAATAATAAACGTATTTTTTCTTCCTTATGATTTCTTTAAAACATTTTCTTCTCAATGGCTTATTTTATTGTAAGAATACAGTGTTAATACATGTAACATACAAAATGTGTTGATCAACTGTTTATGTTATCGGTAAGGCTTCCAGTCGACAGTAGGCTATCAGTAGTTACGTTTGGAGGTAGTTAAAAGTTATACGTGGATTTTTTACCGCAAAGGGAGTCAGTGCCCCTCAGCCCCATGTTGTTTAAGGGTCAAGTGTATATCTTTCTGTCATTATGAAGTGGCCTTCTTTATTATCTCTAGAGATGCCTTTTGCCATTAAGCTTACACTGATACTAATATAGATAGAATTTATTTTCTTATGTGTCTTTTCTTGATCCAATCTATTACCTTCAAACTTTTGTTATCCTTATTTTAAACAGGACTCCTGTAAAAATCATCTAAATGAGTTGTTTCTTCATTGAATTTTAACAGGAACAGCCAATTTATACTACATGGTTTACTAAATCTTTTTACTAAGTGTTTTCTATGTCCTCTACTTATTTTCTTTTCTTTCTTGCCTCTTTTTCCTGGATGTGGGCGGACGAAGAAAATATGAACGTATTTTCTTCGTTCTCTTCTTCTATTAGTTTGGAAGTTATATGCTTGTTCACCCTAGTATTTACAACATGCTTCCTTGACTTATCAAACATTAATGTTCATTTGTACTTTTACCCTTTTCCCATACAAATACAAGGACCTCAGAAAGTGTAATATTTATCCTCAATCCAGTTTATATGCCTTTGTTTTTCAAATTCTGTATCTTTTAAACTCAACAGGCCATTATTTTCACTTTGTACAAATATGCATTTAGGTTTATCAACAATTTTACCATTTTTGTTGCTCTTTATTCCTTTATGCATCTTCAACTTTTCAAATAATCATCATTCTTCTGCCTGAAAAACAACCTTCAGCATTTCCTTTAGTGAACGTCTTCTAGTAATGAACTCTCTCCATTTTTCCTTATCTGAAAATGTCTTATTTTTGAAGGGCACCTTAAAGATTCTTTATACACCATCTCCTGGATTCATTCCACTGTTACTAATGGAAGTGAACTAAGTCTTCCCGCTGCTCCTTTGAAGGTGATCTTTTCTCTCTTCTAGCTGCTTTAAGATTTTCTCATCATTACTTTTCAGTTGTTTTATTATCACTTGCCAAGGTGTGGTCTCCTTTATCATGTTTATCAGTAAGTATGATAAATATAAAGAAAACCACAATTTCACAAATCTGTGACTTTATTTCTTTCTTTGGTTTTATAGTTCTGAAACACACTTCCCTCAAACTCTGCTTCTGTCCCATTCCACCTCTCCTCTTCTTCTAATACTACAACTACATATATTAAATTTTCTCACTATATTCCTTTTACTTTTCACATTCCCTTCTACTTTTTTCCATCCCTCTGCATCTCCATGCTGAAAATTTTCTTCTGAGCTATCTTCCAGTTTACTAATTCTCTCTTCAAATGCTTCTAATCTTCTGTTAAACCCACCTGTTAATAGTAGGTAAATAATTTTCTGGCTTAGTTTTTCTTTTATAGCTTCCATTTCTCTTCCTTTTCTTCTGTCTCCTTCCACATTGAAAACTTACAGATCTTATAAAGTCTGGGTCTGAAATTCTAAAATCTAGAGTATGTGGATTTTGTATTGTTTTTCAGACTGTTTCTTCAGATTTTTGTTAATGTCATCTTGTCTCCTTGTGTGCTTATTTTCTAGTGTGTGTCAGACAATACACTTAACTAAATAGCTTATAAAAATAATATAAGGCCAAAGACAATAATATCTTCCTCCAGGAAAGATACATATCAGCTTCTGCCAGGCACCTACTATTACTAGCAACCCAGGATCAATGCAATTTCACTTACTGAGATAGACAATTTTGAGCTGAGATACTGTCTCTGTGAGGACCTGCAACCTCCTAGTTCATTCTTACTCCTAAAGTACGTATCCATCAGTGTCCCTACCCCCAAGCGAAGACTAGGCTGGGCATGGCAAGGGAGGTTCACATAGACAAATTATAGACTCCAAACGCTATCCCCCAAAGCTCAGCCTTTCGTCTGTCCTCTCCAGATTCTGCAAACGTGCTCAGCAGAAAAAGAGATCCCCCAAAACACGGTTATATCCTTGATCATCTCACCTCCTGAAGACCATGAACTAGTAATTCTTCACAATCTTGCTGATTCACAATCTCTGATGTGTTCAGTTATTTTTTTTCCTATTGTATCCTATTTTCCTGGAATTGCTCAGCTGGCCTGCATTATCTTGTCAGTCCTTAACAAACACAAGTCTACTGGCACTTTTTGAGCAGTTGCTTTTTAATCTAAAGAGGTCTAGAATTGACATAAGGTAGTATGGTGTAACAATGTTGAAATGAGGATCTGAATAAAAAAGAAACATAACAGAAAATCTATCAACATGCCTGGCCTTATGTTCATCTCCAATAAGCTCTTCCTACTTTTTTCTACAACATCATCACTTAACCAGTTTATGTAAGTCACAGATTACATTAAATTTCACTTCCCCACTCCTCCAACCTGGACAGAGATAATAATCTTTACATGCTATCACTCACCCACTGTTTTTCAGTAAAACAGAGAACAGCCTTTCATTTTCAAATTCAACAAAACATTTACTTAAGGCTTATTATGTGGCAAGGAGTGAAGTAAATGTGAAGGATTGAGAATAACGAAACTCTGCTCTCAAGAAGTCTGTGAAAATGCCTCTACTATATTTGTTACCTTGGCTATTTCTTTAAGTAACCTTGCCAGCTACTCTTCAATAATAGTTGTACTCTATACAGATCTTTTCCCAAATTGTCACTAACTAGATACACATTATATACTTCACATATGGCCCAAAAATGTCTGGAAAAATGCATTATGAACAGAGATACTTTAGTACAAATCACTAATATGTAATTGGTTTTGACCCGTACCCTTTGTGAAACCAGCTGCCCTACACTCTGTGACCACATATAGAGCCTTGTTTGGCATACCCCATGCTTTTCAAGTATTAACCCTCCTTGGCTGGAACCACATCAAGATTACATAGAAAAGGGCTTCTACCACAGCTAATTAATCCTCACAATTATGATTTACTAAATTAAAAATATTTGTAAAGCAGTTAAAATCACATTAAATCTTACTAACCTTACTAATCTTACTAACCTTAAAAAATTTTACTAACCTTAAAAAATGAAACAATCACTATTGCCCCAAGAAGCCACAAACAGCTCAAGGATGTTAAGGTGCAAGCCATCAGGACTCTAGTACAGCTGAAATTGTCGAGGTCATCCTTCTCAAAATGTTGTAAGTAGAGAATGAAGAAAAAAAAAAAACTAATCACAGCAGCTGCTTTGTCTACTGCAACCAATTTCCAGGTTAATATCGTTTGCCTTGCATTAAAATTCATTCTGTGTTGATTTATCACGCCAGTTCTGCAGCTTCATTCAATTAAAACAATGTCACAACACTTTCAAAGAAAATCATTTCAAACAGCCTGAGCTAAGTGCAACTTTAAAGGCCAAAAGAAGGGAAAGAAAAAGGGGAAAAAAAGATATTCATTAACCCTACTGTTTAAATACAGACCTTCTCTGTGGCTCACCAATTATATTTCTGCCAAGTGGCATGTTAATTTACAAAGAAGAGGTTTAACAACAATTATGTCTAATGCTGTTCATTGCTGCTCACACTTCATTTTAAATGGAAATGATAGATTTTTCCCAATGACAAAATGTAAAGCATTATAGAAAACCCTTCCATTAACCTTTTTAAAATTCCCTAATTAAAGATAAACTCCTGCAACACATTATCACAATAGATAATAAAAAATGGATTTCGAAAAGCACCTCAAGTGAAACACTTCTAAGAACTGATAAAGTGTAATCTGTGCCTAAAATTTGGGGACAAGGGGAGAGACCAAGTTTTCATTTAAAAAATGCACTTTTTTGGATTGCTTTTTGCACAACAGATTGATAATGTTTTTAAATATTGTGTCTAGTTATTTCTAGGGTGATTTTAGTTAGATGCCTTACAAATCTTTCATTATATCACATAAGCAACACAGTGGGTATGAAACAAATACATTCACAGAAGCGTATATGTATATTTTCTGAAGTCTTTCACTTAGCAGAAGACAAAAAACGGACCACACCCAATCTAGTCAACACTAGTGGGCCTATCTTATACAAGTATGTAAGATGAGAGAAGAGTTGTGTCTATATATTAACAGCACAACTGTTTTTAATTAAAAATACAGAATGAATACAGATGATCCTTGACTTACAATGGAGTTAAGTCCCAATAAACCCACCACTGAGTTGAAAGTGCAGTTTTAAATTTACGATATTTTCAGTTGCAATGGTTTTATCTGGAGATGGCCCCATCATAAATTGAGAAGCATACTGAAAACATATCCTTTCAAACCATTGTAAACAATCCTAAGTCAGACCATTGTAAGTTGGAGACTATATACCAAAATGTCTTGTGTTTTGAGGGAAAACGAGCATCTTATGCCTTGTTACCTTCATATTAATTCTTATAAATTAATAAGTGGCTAAATACATCTCCTGGAGAAATAGCTAATTTATAAAATATAATTAACATTACAGGAAACATTTGGCAAAACCTTTCACATATTAGGCCTTTATAAACATTTTTGTTCATAGCACACATGGCACATGTTACGTACAAGTGCTGTGTAAGAAAAGGTTTCTTACAAGGCTATGTAAAAACAAAACAAAAATTTAAAGCTGCATACTTCCATGTTGAAATAGAAAGTGGAAATAGTAACTGTTTTGTTTTTTATTACTGACTTTGTCCTTTGGGATTTATCCTGAGAACAGCCAGTCAGGCTTATTATATGAGAAAGTTCTAAACATATGAGTTCCTGTGCTGCATACAACTTACAATTTAGTGACTGAATCCCTCCCTCCAGCTTTACTGAGATATAATGAACAAGGTTTAACTTGTGATGATTTAATACAAGGTATACATTGTGAAATGGTTACCACAATCAAGCTAATTAACACATCCATCACCCACACAGCTACTGTGCCCACGCATGTACACGCACGTGTGTGTGTGTGTGTGTGATGTTAAGCACCTTTTCATAAGCCTTTTGGACATCTGTATATTCTCTTTTGAAAAAATGTCTAAAAGTTATTTGCCTATTTTTAAATTGGGTGATGTCATTTTTTTTTTTTTTTTGCTGTTTTGTTGTTTTGGGCTGAGTTAATATTCTGGTATCTTTTGGATATTAAACCCTTAGCAGACATAAGGTTTGCAGATATTTCCTCCCATTCTGTAGGTTGCCTTTTCATTTTGTTGATTGTTTCTTTGCTGTGCAGAAGCATGTCAGCTTGATGTAGTCCTGTTTATTTTTGCTTTTGTTGCTTGTGTTTTTTGGGTGTAATATCTAGAAAAATCATTACCAAGACCAGTATCAAATACCTTTATAATTCAGTGTTTTTTCCTACATGTTTTATAGTTTCAGGGAATTCATTTAGGTCTTTAATCCATTTTGACTAAATTTTTATGTACGGTGTAAGTAAGGGTCCACTTTCATCTTTGGAATGTCAATATCCAGTTTTCCCAGCACCAACTGTTGAAGAGACGATTCTTTCTCCATTGTGTAGTCATGGTACCCTTGTCAAAGATTAGTTGACTCTATATTCATAGGTTTATTTCTGAGATTCTGTTCTGTTTCATTGGTCTATGTGTCTGTTTTTATGCCAGAAGCAAATTGTTTTAATATAATTTGAAATCAGGAACTGCAATGTCTTCAGCTTTGTTCTCAAGACTGTTTTGGCGATTAGGTGCTTTCTGTGGTTCCACGTGAATTTTAGGATTGTTTTTTCCTATTTCTGTGAAAAATGCCAATGGAATTTTGACAGGAATTGTACTGGATCTATAGATTGCTTTGGGAAGTATGGAAATTTTAACAATAATCTTCCAATCTACGAACATGGAATATTTTTCCATTTATTTGCATCTTTAATTTATTTGATCAGTGTTATACTTTTCAGCGAGCAGGCATCTTTTACCTCCTGGGTATTATTTCTAATTATATTATTCTTTCCGATGCTATTGTAAATGAGATAGCCCTTTTTTTTTTTTTTGAGATGGAGTTTCGCTCTTGTCACCCAGGCTGGAGTGCAGTGATGTGATCTCGGCTCACTGCAGCCTCCGTCTCTCCCAGGCTCAAGCAATTCTCCTGCCTCAGCTTTCCAAGTAGCTGGGATTACAGCCTGCACCACCACACCCAGTTGTTTTTTTTGTATTTTTTGTAGAGACAGGGTTTCACCATGTTGGCCAGGCTGGTCTCAAACTCCTGACCTCAGGTGATCCGCCCGCTTCGGCCTCCCAAAGTTCTGGGATTACAGGTGTTAACCACCATACCTGACCTCTTAATCTCTTTTTTGAATAGTTTGTTGTTAGTGTATAGACAGAAAACTGATTTTTGTATGTTGATTTTTGTATCCCAGAACTTGACTAAGTGAACAGATTTCTTGATGAAGTCTTGGGTTTTTCTACATACAAGATTATGCCACTGCAAATAAAGATAATTTTATTTCTTCCTTTATGATTTAGGTGTCTTTTACTTTTTTTTTTTTTTTTTTGAGACAGTCTTGCTCTGTTGCCCAGGCTGGAGTGCAATGGTGCAATCTCAGCTCACTGCGACCTCCACCTCTTGGGCTCAAGTGATTCTCCTGCCTCAGCCTCCCGAGCAAGCTGGGATTACAGGCATGCATCACCATGCCTGGTGAATTTTTGTATTTTTTAGTAGAGACAGGGTTTCATGTTGGCCAGGCTGGTCTCCAACTCTTGACCTCAAGTGATCCGCCCACCTCAGCCTCCCAAAGTGCTGGGAATCAGAGCCATGAGCCACCACTCCTGGCTGCCTTTATTTCTTTTTCTTGGCCTAACTGTTCTGGCTAGAACTTACCATATTTAATGGAAGTAGCAAGGGTCTTCTTCCTGACCTCAGAGGAAAAGCTTTCAGCTTTTCACCATTAAGTATGATGTCAGCTGTGGGCCTGTCACACATAGCCTTTATTATGTTGTGGCATACTGTTCTATACCTTACTTGTTGAGAATTTTCATTGTGAAAGGATGTTACATTTTGTCAAATGCCTTTTTTGCATCTTTTAAGATGATCTTATGGTTTTTATTTTTCATTCTGTTAATTTGGTGTAGCTCAGTTAATGATTTGCATATGTTGAACCATTTTTACATTCAGAGGAAAAATCTCACTTGATCATGGTGTACGCTCCTTTTAATGTGCTATTCAATTCAGTTTGCTAGTATTTTGTTGAGGATTTTTGCAACTGTTCATCAAGGATATTGGCCTGTAACTTTATTTTCTTACAATGTCCTTATCTGGCTTTGGTTAAGGGTAATGCTGGCCTCATAAAATGAATCTGGGAAGTGTTCTCTCCTGCTCAGTTTTTTGGAAGTTTGAGAAGGGTTGGTGGTAATTCGTCTTTAGATGTTCAGAGGAATTTGCCCGTGAAGCTGTCTGCTCTTGGGCTTCTATTTGTTGGGAGGTTTTGACTTAGTGATTCAATCTCCTCACTCATTATAGGTCTGTTCAGACTTTCTGTTCCTTCATGATGTGGTCCTGATAGGTTGTATGTTTTAGGAATTTATCCATTTCTTCTAGTTTGTTCAATTTTTTGGCATATATTTACTCAGAGTAGTCTTTTATGATCTTATTATTTCTATGGTATCAGTTGTAATGTCTCCTTCATGTATTTTGACTTTTTTTTCTCTTGGTTAGTCCAACTAAAGGTCTGTCAATTTTGTTTACCTTTTCAAAAACCAACTCTGTTTTGTTGAACTTTTCTGTTGTATTCCTGGCCTCTATTTCATTTATTTCTGCTCTGATCTTTATTATTTCATTCCTTCTGTTTAAGACTCTGGCATCCACTATTTCCAGGTAGTTTCCCACCCATTAAAAAAAAAAAATCCCAGGAAATTTTTACTGCGAGAATGAAAAATCACTATGTAATTTCACTACATAGTTTCTTCTATGGGCTATGTATTGCGCGAGATATCATAGATTTCTAAAAAATAAAAGACTAAGAGCGAGTTCCTGACTTCAGAGAATGACCTGCAAGAATCAGGCAGATCACTGCATACCATGTGATAACAGCTTAAGAGGTGGGTACAAAGTACTCTAAGGGGAAACAACTGTCTGTAGGAGTCAAAGCACATACAAATAGCAAAAGGAGCACTACAGCTCAATATTGTGGGATGAGGGGGAGCTGAGCATGTTTGGTGGGAAGGAAGAAATAAGAAAAGAAGTGTTACAGGGAAGAAAAATTAAAAGTACCTGCCATTTTTACAGAAGAGTGAATTGCTTAGGTGGCTAGAAAACATGGGTAGCAGCAAAATAAAGGCTTGGAAAGTAGTTTGGGATCTTTCAAAAGGCCTTGTGCATTGGATCTCATACTCTCACAAATACTGTCTTCTGCTCTTGTCATAAAACACTTGTTGACCTTTATTGCCTTCGTATTTTTATTAATTGGTTAAATAATCTTTTTTCTAATTGTTACTTAGCATCTAGAGTGATAATCTATCTTCCTCACGTGAATTTGTTTTGAATGGTTTCAGCTTATTATCCAGTTATATCAGTACTCAAAGAATGATACACCGTAATTTAGGATATCCTAATTCGCATACCACAGATTTCAAATTTTGGTTATAACTGGTTATTAATTTTTCCCCTTTGCTGCTGGTGTCAAATCGAAGTATCACGAGTGCAAGGACTACGTTATTCAACATTTCTTTGGTGTTGAGTATGCTGCAGTATGTTTTGAGTGTTCAAGTATGAGCCAACTTCTGGGCTGGGTATTTTACATGCATTAGGTCACTTAATCCTCGAAACACCACTGCACAGTGCTTACCACTACCACCTACATCTAATACATGTGAGGTTACATCAGTAGCCCAAATCCTAGAACACCTAGGTTGATTCTAGAGTTCAGACACTTAATACAGTATAATGCCTCTCTTCTAATGACCTTAACATATACCCTGATAACAAGAAAAATTCATGGTTAGTTTTCTCATTATTGTTAATCTTTCAAAATGTTTAGTACTCAGTTTATAGAAACTCTATTCAAATCCAAGTTTACTTTCAGAATTAGTCCAGTTGTGTTTTTATCATTTCTTCCCCACCTACATATATCCCAAACATATCATTACTGTATCATTTCAGATAATCACATCTTGGTTTCTCAATATTTTCATATGTTTTACTGATTGTCACCACTTTAATAATCATCACATACATCTTTATTCTCAACGAATGGCAATACCAGCAAGGCCCTTCCCTCATTCTTAGCCTTCACATGTAAAAGATAAAGAAATCTTAAAATTCTCCCTATTTAATTTGTGCTTTTCATTTCAACTGCCATTGCCTGAGTTCAAGCTCTCATTATTCCATACCAGGATTGTGGCTATATCAGTACCATGAGAGCAATTACATCTTTTCATATTCCTGTGTCCTGTTACCTAGCACAGACCACACACAAACATTTCCAGGATGAAGAAATGATACCAAAATTTTGCTGTTTTATATTCAGATATCCTTTTTAGTGTTCAAGTTCTAACTACTTTTCAAATTTTAAGAGTTTTGTTTTAATCTGTCCTTAACATGGCAAATTTATACTATTTATATGCAATCTTAAAAGTACAAAGAAACTAATCAAAACAATCATTGTTCTGTAACCCCAAACAATACAGGATAGAAGTTTTCAAAGTCAATCAATTCCCTACCAAATAATAAAGAAAATATTATACCAATATGAAACAAGTAGATGCCCAAGTTTATGATAGACAGGCTGCTTATTGATGACACTGATTTTGGACTTGGGAAAAGCAGTGTTCTATGGCAGACAAAACAAGATTTCAAGAAATCCCCAATTTATTTGTAAGCTACCTTGTTGTAAATCCTGGGTTTATTAAGACATAAAATATGTTTTCTGGCTGGGCGCAGTGGCTCCCGCCTGTAATCCCAGCACTTTGGGAGGCTGAGGCAGGAAGATTGCTTGAGCCCAGGAGTTCAAGACCAGCCTGGGCAACACAGTGAAACCTTGTCTCTAAGATAAAACAAAACAAAAATTACTTAAATATATATGTATTTTTTCCCAATGAAATGATTAACTGAATTTATCTCAAAAGCTAGTAGCTGAAAAACTCAACCTCAACATCCCTAAAGTAAAGGCACGTGATCTCAAAAACTAAGGTACTTTTCCGCCCAAACTGAAATCAAAAGAAAACATAGTCTCATTAACTTACAAAATAAATTTAGGTCACCTACTTATAAACAGGAACTGAAATGAGTGGAAGAGTTCAAGCAGTATAACCTTTGACTGCTTCATAGCCCATTTCATGTGTGACAATTCTGAGGGGTTAGGATGAGGAAGATTCTGTTATTAGCCATTTTACTCCCGGAGACACTGCTCTCTCAAATTGGGCTGAAAGTAGATCATCACCTTGAGCTTTCCTTTAATCTTTATCAGAAACAGCTCAATGTTCCTGGAATATGGATAGCACTGAGAAGCAGATTTCTCCTCGATTTCCATATTACATACTTTGGCTATTTCAGCAAGAATCTTAAGAGATATGGAGATTGAACACCTATGAGTAGATATCAAATTATCCATAAGTCCTTTGAAGCAGTAATTTTAACAGAGTAGATCCTAACATGAAACTCTTTTTAGATAAACCATAGACAAACGTTTCTGTCTAATCTGAATAATTCTTCCCTAACAACCCCATCTTTCATTTTGTTCTTCTAAGCACTAGTTCCTATCAAATACTAAAATATATTATTTATAAAAGAAAGTGCCTGCATTTTTAAAACTCAGAGAGGCCTTATTATTTAAAGAAATGTTAAACGTTGGAAAAATATCAGCTAAACAAAATGTATTGTTTTCAGACTGTCCTGTAACCCTTTCTGTAATTATTTACTAACATTCTAAGAAATGTGGTATATCCCAAACCATAAAAAGCCTATGAAATATTTGGTACACAACAGGCCCTAAATATACCCTTACAGAGTGAAATAAAGAGGAAACTTCAAAACAAAACAAAGAGTCATAAATTGGCTTTTACTAAACCGATCTAGTTGAACTTATACATTAAGTTTTCCCTACCTAAAACATAAAGATATGCCCTATATTATCAAATCACACTGCTAAATTAAAACTTTAATATGTAATCTGAATCACTTCACAACTCCACTGAATACAAATATGTACTAACCTTTTGAGAAAAACTACCTTTAAATAGATTTCTGTACAAACTATCAAAGACAGATGTGTAGATCGTAATTTTAAAGCATTATTATTTTCACTCACAAAATATGATCATATTCAGGCAAAAATCAAGTGTTAACCTGGGTATTGAAAAAGGAGACTTTGAATATCATTAAATTTTGATTTAATATCATTTGTTATTCAGAAGAATGAAAGTGAAAGTAGTGTACATCAAGACTCCTGAAGTTCGTGATCCTTCAACAATAAGAAGGCCGCAATGGTCAAAGGAACAAAGACTTTAAGGAAAGATAACTTACTGAATTGGCCCCTCTCCCCATAATCCCTCTAAAACAAACGCCAGCTCAACACCCAATTTGACACCAACTTCTCAAGACTGCTGACAAACAACAACCCTATGCTAACTAACTCAGAAGCTATGACGAGCCTAAGCTGATTTGCAAACCCAGGAAAATGAAACAGAAAGAGAACTTACAACTCGTGTTCCATCATCAACATGTATTATTATAAGAGAGACAGTGGAGTGTACTGTGAATAACATTATGAATCTAAACTACTAACTATAGCAACCAGGCTGGGATCCTACAGGCTGAAAACACAATCCTTGAAAAGACATTTGTCTGTCTTACAAAACCTTTGACAATATGGGTATTCATGATGGCCTAGACCCAAGAGATGCCTTTCAAAGCTATTAGTCAAAATTAAATCCCATTTTAAAAACATCAGAAAATCAGAATTATATTCACATAAAACTCCAAGAAGTCTCACTACAATTTAATCATCATGTCCAAAGGAAGCAGTTTACCAATCTAATCTGTTCATGTATTTAACAGGACGACTAGTATCATCAACAGCTAGACCTTGCCAATATTTATCAAGTCTACTACTCTGGCAGATCCTATAGAACAATTTCTAACAACTTGAAATTGATAACTAGGCAAATTTAATGACAAAATTATTACTGACTCATTCAAAATATAACACTTTTTACTTAAATAAATCAGTTAACTCTATTCATAATCATTTATAACACATCTCCATGGATTCAAACAAGAAAACCTGACCAGCCAAATAAACAATTTGATGGTCTAAATATAACTTCAATGTTCTTTCATGTCTGTAGTTTCATGAATGCATGAGAAACTTAAAGTCTTCAATAATTTAATCGTTTATCCTTCACACAAGACTGAACTCCTTCAAGAACAGGATTATTTTTCTTATGTGTAATCACAAAAACCACAGAGTGCCTGCTCTATCAGATGTCACACATTTGTTACCTTTACTCCTCCCAACAATCCTATGAAGTGAACCTTATAACTTCATAGACAAAGAAACAGATTCTAAAAAGCAAGCATATGCTCAAAGCCAATGTGATCATCTCAATTATTTTTCGGCAAATATTTATTTCAGTCCCCTTCTCTCTGTAAATGAAGTGACTTGGTATCACTAACGCAGGGTTTCTCAACCTCAGCACTACTGACATTTGGGTCCAGGTAATTCTTTGTTGGGGGGCTGGAGGTGCACGGAGGCTGACTGCCCTGTGCATTACAGGATGTTTAACAGTATCCCTGGACTCCACCCACTAGATGCCAATAGTACCCCCTCTCCCAAGTTTAGACACCAAAAGTATCTCTAGTATTGCCAAATGTCCCCATAGGTAAAACTGCCACCAGGTGAGAATCACTGGGCTAATGGAAAGCAACAAGAGCAGACGCCTTATACCTGCTTATGCAGTTTGGCTTGGATCTTGCATTCCAGTGGCCTGCCATAAGAGCATGCCCTAAGCAGCCACTGCCCGCTTTAGCCTGGGCCCAGCAGGAACATAAATGGAGAAGATCTAAACCCACCCAGTTAGCCTCAATCAAGCTAGGCTTCACCCTAACCAGTAGACCCTCAGCCAACATACAGACCCATGAGCACAGAAATAAATGATTATTATTTTTAAGCCACCCAGTTTTAGAGTGTTTTATCATGGAGCATTATTGTGGCAACTGTTGACAAATACAGCCAATAAGAGGATAAGCCAGAATTCAAAACCTAGGCCTGACTAAGAAACCTATTGTCTTTACTATATCAAAGAGTTTTTTTCAAAAGAATTAAATATTCTTACCTAGGATGTGCTTGGTACACAGTAGAGATGCAATAGAAGTCTGCTTTATTAATAAATATTAATTCTGTGAAAATTTTAATACATTTTCAGTGGCCTATTCATATTAGCCTCTCATTCTCACATCATGAGGCCAAACTTCAAAAACGTTGCAAAGGGCTACAGACTATAGCACTACTTCATTTCTCAGACCTTGAGTCTGAGACTTTCTTCTCATATCAGTTTCAGAGATCTGCACTGCCAAGTCCAAAACACATCTCTAACTTAACACTGACTTCTGTAAGTAAGGTGCTATGTGCAAATGCAAAAGACAACAGGTTTAAAGAAAAAGAAAAGTTTAACAATATTTGAAAGAATGAGTTTCATACAAATATGTGCAACAAATACTTATTGTGAATACACCATTTATCAGACACTATTCTAAGCACTAGAAATACAGCACTGAAAGACAAAAAGATTCCTGCCCTCATAGAGCTTGTGACACATAGCATAAAGATGTTTTCCAACTGCTTCACTCATATTAACTCTTTAGTCTTCATAATCTTGTGAGAGGTTTAATATCTCCATTACAGAAATGAGAAAAGCGAACACCAGGAATGAAAAGTAATTTGCTTAAAGTCACAAAACATCATCACTTCCTGGCCTTTTGGTTAAGATCAAGTGTAGTACCAAAGTCACAAAACAAGCAGCAAAACTAGCTAGAAGTCTGAATCTGAGTTCCTACTTTTGACCACGGCATGACACTGCCCCTGTGCTAACTCTCTAACCTCACATCTTACAACACTTCCCAAGCACATTCCTGCCTGAGTCAGCTGTACTTGCTGTTCACTCTGCCTAGAATGTTTTTCTCCCAGATGGTTTTCATGCCTTCCTCCCATCATTCTGTTCCTGTCTCTCCATTCCCATCATATTGTAACAGATTTCTTCCCTGATTACCCTTAAAAATGAATACCTCCTTCCATACACAGTCACTATTCATCTGTCTACCCCACTTTATGTTTCTCCATAACACTGATTACAGCTATAGATTCATTTGTGTACTGTTTGTCTTTGTCACTGAAATGTCCACTCCACAAGACCAGTGACACTGTTTAATTCATCACTTCACCACTTACTGTTTCAGGCCTCCTGAAACGATGCCTGGCAAAATGACCAGGTACATGATCACCTACCTGTCAGCCTGGCTGACCCTGTCCCCTCTCCAAAAAAAAAAAAAAAAATTAGAGGAGTGATTCTCATACTTCAGCATGCATCGGAATTATCTACAGGGCTTAACAGGCAAATTGCTAGGCCTCGCCCTTACCCCAGAGTTTCTGATTCAATAAGTATGGAAAGGGGCTTGAACATTTACAGTTCCCAGAAAGCGTAGATACTATGGTCCAAGGACTGTGTTTTGAGAATCACCGATCAAGACAAATGCCATGCTCCAACACACCAGTCGGTAATAGTAGTTCACCGTGGCAAGAAGTCACAACTGGAGGAGGAAGGAAAGGAATATAGTGAACAGGTGCCCTCTAGACTCAAGTCCTGACTTAGAAGACTGTATGAAACCCATGTCTTTTAAAGAATGCATAAATACCCCTTCCTTGAATAGGATTTCTTTTTTTAAGAGATGGAACCAGACAGATTAACATTATATTCTCTATCAAGGTCTTGTGGTCTTACATATTCTATGTTAATGCCCACTGCAGAAACATTATCCCTTAACGTTTAAATAAGCAAAACAGACAGTTGCTATCCTTTCCAGGATAGTGAAAAACCTAACAGCAGTAGACCCCAATTGGAACAGCTGCCCAAATCACAATTTCCCATCTCTAGGAATAATCCTAATACCTAGGGTAGGCTCACAGTGGTCCTGTCTAGGTAATGGTAGATAACCTCACTTCCCCAGTCAGAAAGGCCCAAAACACATTCACTCTTCTAAGAATCTGAATTTTAAAGATAAAGTCTGGGAGGCACCAATGCCAAGTTATGTCAGCAAGGCTCTCAACCGAGAAGCTCCACAAACTCCTGCTGCTCAAGTTCTCAGATGCCCTGATTCCTAGCCTAACATGGCACTTTGTTTTCCAACTATTCCTTTAATCCTCTGTGTTACTCAATAATCTTCCAACCAACTCCTCTTTTCCTACATTATCCAAGACTATTTGTGTATTTGCAACCAAAAATACCTATAAAACCAGAGTAAATGTATATAACCTTTAAAAAAAAGTATCAGATCAATTTTTGCAAATTGTAATGTAACTGTAAAATATCAAAGCTTTTTCCTATTAATTCAACTTAAGACATTTCTCATCTACAGACTAGTATTCTGTCCATATAACTAAAGAATCATAGAGCACATCATATTTTTGATATTATAATAACTCCTTTTTTCATCTGCTTTCATAAAAGTCCTCTGAAACTTAGCAAAAAGCCATCATCTTTTCTTGGTTCATTCAACAAGTATTGTTACCTATTATGTGCCAATATTATGAGGGATACAGCAGTGAATAACAAAGACAAGGTTCTTATTTTATGTACACCTTATATTCTTCAGGGGAGACAGAGAGAGAGAAAATAAACCAGAAAAATGCCCGATTATAAGTGCTATTGCAAAGAAAAAAAAAGACAACGTGAAACAGTGAGTAGCTAGATAGATGGCTTTTAAATAAAAAGGTCAGGGGAAGCCTCTCTGAAGTGACATTTGAGCTAAATTCTTAATGACAAGAAGCAGCCAGCCAGTAGAGATCAGAGCACAACTAACATGGGGTCCCTAAGACTGGGAATAGACTTGACTTATTCTAAAAGCCAAAAGAGGGTCAATGTGACTACAGTGTGGTAAAGAAGAGGGAAAATCATTTAAGATGAGGCCAGAGAAATAGAATGGACCGTATCATATAGGGCTTTGTAACAAAAAGCAAAGAATCTGGATTTATTTAGAAATTAACAGATATAGGACAAGGAGGCTATTCACAACAAGATGCTTATAGAGAATAGTTCAACAATGGACTAAGATGGGGGAAAATCAGATTACAATCAGTGGTTTCAATAAAAATTTTAGAGCTGAAAGGAAACTTATGGTCCAACACCTTCATTTTACAGAAAGAATGCTGTGGCCCAAGCTGTGGCTTCTTGAAGGTCAGATTAAAGATGAGCAATGTTGTGCTTGGTGCTCTGTGTCAGTCAGGCCATAGTGCTTTCCACAATTCCTCATCCAGTTTTGAAACCCAAGAGTCTATACCATGTGCATTTCCAAAGTGACATAGCAGCAATCAAATGCAAACATATTTAGAGAGAAATTTTTTAAATTATCATGCCAAATTATTCACACTTCAGTTGATGACTGCATTTTTTTAAAGTGGCTAATAATGCTTAAGTATTTACCACCAAATATATCTCTTCCCAACATATGTGAAGCAGAACAAAATTGAATAAAACAACAAAATATACTTACATCTGGGTATTCTTTTACAGGCACATAAAGTTTCTCTTGTAACTGAACAATAGGTCCCACAGCATCAGGCAATTCTGCACTCCTTTTCTCTGTACTGCCATTTAATGTGTCATTGTACATGTCTTTCCGTACTCTGCTAATTTCTGTTAAAAGTAAAAATTTTAAATGTGTTAGACAAAAAAAATATTCTTGCTAGTCCAGAGGAAAAAAGAGAGGGCAGGGGAGGGTTTCATTGATAAAGCATTAAAACTCAAATAAGGAGCTCCTGGCCTATTCTATCATTCTCTGGATTAAGCCCATGTTTAAACAAGACTATAGCCTTAATTAATTTCTACTACAAACCAATTTTTATACGAATCAAATAACATATCTTATTAAATTAACTTCAAAGCCCGAGCTCCTTCCTAACCGGTATAATATGGACTTGTTAGTTCATCTAATTTTTCCAAGTCTAAACGAGGCCAGTCATTCCAAATCATAGCTTCAGTAAACAACTATAAGAATGCCTGTCAGACAAAACTAATACCAAAGCCTCTTTTGTACTTCAGAACTAATTTGTCCGAAGGATATTTAAACGGGACCACTTCCATTATTTTTAGATATCTTTGGAATATCCAAACAGAGATGTTCAAAAGACAACAGACTGCAAGTTCAGCAGAAGTCTGAGTTTCATATACAAATTTAATGGTTAAAGCTATCAGAAGAGATGTCTTAGAGCAAGTAATGGGAGAAAGAAGGACGGAATCCACTTGAGAAAAAGGAAGGGGTAAGGAAAAGAAGATCCAAACCAAGAAGAAATGGAGGTAGGCAGGAGAACTAGAGAAGAGAGGTGTTATAGAAGCTAAGAAATGACAGATTCAAGGACAGGGTGACCAACAGTATCGAATACTACAAAAGAATGTAAGATAAACAGCAAAAGATGGTACCTTGGATTTGACCACTAAGCCACTGGTGATCAGAGAAGTTTCAAGGGAAAGAGGGTAACAGATCAAGCTACACTGGGTTAATGATTGAAATATTAAATATAAAAAAGGAAGTAGCAATACCTAAAATCAATGACCTGTTTTTAAAGACCTGTATTACTGTTCTTGGATATACATAGACATTTTTTTTAAAAGTAGGAGAATTCTATTTTAATGAGCCGAGTCCCATAAAGAAAATGGATCTTTTCAAAAATTATTAAGCTTCTAGTATGCACCAGAAGACAGGCTCCTGTCCTTTGGAACATACTGCCCAATAAGGGTTGTCATTATTAAGGTTAGCCAGATGCAGATGTAATGTCTCTCTATCCTACAGACTGTGTCCTCCTTGGGAGAAAGGCTTGCATCCATTAGTATTTAAAAATAAAATGTATTTTTTAAATGTATTTTGTATGCTTTCCAAACATGGGGAAGTTCAATTTATTGATAGTTCCTTAGGAACTATCAAATATGAAGGCACTCTTTAATTTTTCTAACTAGTTATTTAAATCAGTTTCGGTTAAATAAAATCCAACACAGCAAAAAGGCAGGATCAAAGGTACTCTTACTCAGTTATAAAATCTTAATCAATTAAAAAAGGCACTGTAATACATTTTCTGCTTCAGTGATACCAATATTCATATTACAAATTTTATCTCTTAAATAACAATTTGTTTGTCAAAGCTTACGAAATGCTTTTCTCTGAATAGCAAATAAAATCAACAAAAATCTAGAGATTACCTTGGATTTGACTACATGATAAGGGCAGAATTTTATTATTTCCTAAGGTTCTTTTTATACTTCTAGCTTCATAATTAAATCTTTCCTAATAATGTCCAGTATCAACTTGGTGTTTATCTTAAATTAGCATATGACAGCAATTCTCAAATCAAGTTTTCAACAACCAAGCAACAATTTAAACTCCTTTACATCATTTACATAATTACAGCAAGTAATTAACCAAGGGACATTAGAAAAATTTAATCTAATTAAAATCACACATACATCCTTTAGCCAGGTCTCTGGACTAAAAAAGCACTTTCCATATAATTATTATTTAAATATCTTCTTCGGAAACTACCTATTCTTACTGCAGTTAGCACCACACTAATATCAAAGCCTGAGAATAGCAGCATGAAAGAAAACTATAGATAAAATTTGCTTAAAAATATAGATGCAAACATCTGAAATAAATAGAAAAAGAAAAATGCACTAAGATATAGTAGAATTTATACCCTGAGTGCAAGAATAGTTCAATATTGAAAAATCTACTATTATAAGTAACCATAGTAATATAATAAATCTAGGGAAGAAAAAATACTGATTTTCCAGATAAACAAATTTATCAAACTTAGAAAAAAAAAAAACAAAAGAATCTATTGCAAGTTATCAGAAAATTCAGATAAAATGACTAGATTAAAAAATTAAATAAACGTGCCGGGCGCAGTGGCTCATGCCTGTAATCCCAGCACTTTGGGAGGCCAAGGCAGGCAGACCACTTGAGGTCAGGAGTTCAAGAGCAGCCTAGCCAACATAGTGAAACCCCGTCTCTACTAAAAATACAAAAATTAGCTGGGCATGGTGGCAGACGCCTGTAATCCCAGCTACTCAGGAGGCTGAGGCAGGAGAATCGCTTGTACTCAGGAGGCGGAGATTTCAGTGAGCCGAGATGGTGCCATTGCACTCCAGCCCGGGCAACAAGAGCAAAAAACTGTCTAAAAAAATAAATAAAAAGAAAATGTATAAAACAAACAGTCCTCATATATAAGCATCTATCTGGTTAGATGATACAAGCCATTTACCACTTAAGTTGTATTTTTATAAATACCTATGTGATTCCTTGATTAATAACACAAAATTCCATGAGATTCTGTTACCCAGTGTGTCCGCAGGTCCTTGAACAGTGCCTGGAACACAGCTGGCCCTCAATAAATACTTGGTGGGGGTAAACAAAGGCAAGAAAGAGCTAGGTTTCTGGAGCATTAAAGTTAAACAAGTCATGGTTCCAGCTCTCAAATAACTTATTCTAATAAGGAAGACAGATAAGAAGTCTTTCTACCACGATTTTTTTCAGTCTCTAAGATATATCACTCAATTTCATAACAGAACACAAATTAATGTATAAGATAGTAATGATGGGAATGAAAAGGTAACTAAGACATAGTTCCAGTCCTCAAGGACTTAAAAATCTTACTCACTGTTGAGTTTGGCCAACTATGTACTACCTTTATAAACAGGGGAAAAAAGTAGAAAATCATCAGCATTCTGGTGTTATTCAGAACACTCGAGTCAGAGCAAGTTCTGATTCCAGTTCTAACAGTAACTGTGATTTTAGACAAGTCTCTTTCTTACAACCTCTCTGTGTCTGTGCTTCATATACTTATTCAATGAATGAACTAAATCCACTGGTTTCCAATCTTACTATGCAAGAGCCCCATTTATTCTTTTTCTCCATAATCCTGTTTTTAAAAGTTTTGTCTTTAAAACTTTCCATTTGTAAGTCGTGGCAATCAGAGCTTCTGGGAATGTTATCCTAGCAGGAGGATACAATTATAGCCAAACTACTATGGAAACATGCAACGAGTACGGGTTTGGGAAATGCTTTAGTCCTTTTGTAAGTAATAGCTTCACAGGTGTTCTCATGAAACATAGGAATGCTTCATAACTAATATGCTGTACACACTATTTTGCTGTATCAAACATTACAACACTCAAATGCCCCACCACCAACTGCACTACCTTCAACAACCCGCAGCAGTTGTTCAGAGAACTGAAGTTCAGAACCGTTTGCTTAATCACGCATAGTACAAAAAATCTCCCAACATGAACCCCAGGCATGTATTTTCTATCTAAATATCCCCAGTATCAAGAGAAATTTTTAGACATCTCTAAAGATCTTAAATATTATAAATTTGTTTTAATAAACCAAAATCTGCTCTCCTAAAATTTCTACCATTGGCCACAACTCAGCAGCCCCATAAACATTGGAAAAATTCTAAAATATCTAAGTGTCCTCTTCCCTAAACCAATGACATGGTTTTATACCCTCCCACTTGTTTAGATGCACTCTGATCTGTCTAGGTCCCTTTTAATATGCAAAACCCTATACTGTACACAACATTCCATAATGATCAATGGATAAGCCAACTGAAGCTATCAAATTCTAGTCCCAAACTCTGCCCCATCCATAATCACTGTTTAAGAGGTGATGATGTTTAAGAATATCTTTACTTCCTTGGCAAACACAGCACACTGCTGACATTTTGCTAATGGTGTTAAGACAAGTCTCTACCATTCCATAATTCCACAACTGTTTGTTTAGACACCAACAGAAGATTTCAATTTTTTTCCTGGTTATTTTCTGCTACACATATCCCTTCAGCAGACTGATATTAATCTATCAGCTGATATTCTTTATTCTTTAAGGATGAATAGTCTCCGAGTCAAGAATCCAACCGTAATTTTATAGAGCACAGATTTCTTTGGCCCAGATCCCAAAATACAGGCACATCTTTATCTACTACTTGATGAAATCCCAAGCTACAATGGGACCAGAACCTCCTTCTGGAGCCACCAGTTTAAATAGGAAATAATCTGCTTAGGAATCTACAGGTTATGCCATCAAATTTAGCATATACATTTTTCAGCTTTGGGGAGTATTTGCCTTTACAGCATTTAGGCTCCTCCCATTTCCTACAATTTTTTGAATTTACTTTTTTTTTTTCGAATTTCACTACGCTGAAAACTATTTTTTGTTTAGGCCTGAAAACCTGTTACTACTTACTGCCTCGTCACATTTCTCTGCTTTAATTATCTTGATTTTTTTTCTTTTCCAAACTAAGGCTCAACTGTCAGTTAATTCTGCTCCGATGTCACTGCACAGTTCTGTTTTATGTGACCTTTATTCTTTTTTCTTTCCCCTTAATTCACCCAACTATGGATTTCACTAAAAGGTTTTAAAGTAATTCTTAGGTTTCATGTTTCAACAGCCTCAGCTCATGTTTGTCTTTGGCTTTTCCATTACCACTACTCTTTTACTGTATCCAAATTATTGTACGTGCACTCTGCTACTTTTGTACATATCCTTTTAATATCTGAATTACTGGGCCGGTTGTGGTGGATCACGCCTGTAATCCCAACAATTTGGGAGGCCGAGGTGGGCAGATCACTTGAAGTTAGGAGTTCAAGACCAGCCTGGCCAACATGGCAAAACCCCATCTCTACTAAAAATACAAAAATTGGCCAGGTGTGGTGGCAGGCACCTGTCATCCCAGCTACTCGGGAGGCTGAGGCAGGAGAATTGCTTAAACTCGGGAGACAGAGGCTGCAGTAAGCTGAGATCATGCCACTGCACTACAGTCTGGGTGACAGGGTGAGACTCCATCTCAAAAAAGAAATACATATATATATACACATATATACATATATATGTGTGTGTATATATATGTTATACATATATGTTATACACACATATGTTAAATCCAATTACATATATATGAATTATTGGATTTAACTAACAGATCAATCACTGGAAAACTAGAACACTGGAATTAAGAACAGGAAAAACTGTTAAGAGAATAAAAAAATATGGGGTGAGAAATCTAAATTACAGCATTGAGCAGTCATTTCATAAAATATATAAATACATAGCTAAGGCTGTGTATAAAATCAATACTGCAATGTTGGAAAGCCAAAGAATCAAATACAGCTCTATATTACTTTCTGGTTTAGAAATTTTTCAGCAAATTTAAACTAAGAAAATCAAAATTAGGAAATGAAACACAAAAACTATTTACTAACTCAATCATAAGCAACAAAATATTAATGAAAAGTAAAATTCAAAGCCAAAATGCACCAAAGAATTACTTTCAGGATTTGTAAAAAAACAAAACAGTTTTAAAACACTGAAGAAAAACTCACATAAAATGCATCTTATACTTAGTGTTGTGGTAGCTGATTCAATTGCTCAACTTGCAATGCTGATGTTATAGACATATATATTTTTTCACTGGGTATCTATCTGCTGTTTCTTTGTACATTTGAATCCATCAACAAAATCTGCCTTATCATTGTACTAGAGCAGGAGCTAATAAAGGAATGAAAAGGTCACTGTGTCATTTGACCATAACTGTGCTTTTTAACATTTTCCATTAACTTATGGAAAATCTTAGTTGTCAGTAAAACGACAAGTATATATAAACACATACATAATTTGATATACATAAAATACATTTTATGAGGTAAGTTAAAATGACTGCTTTCATCTGAAGCTTAAATAGGCTCCAGTATTTCCACACTGTCTGCAATCCCTACCTCTTGCTAGACATTAAAGTAGCTCACTAACACAAACAGCAAAGTAAGATTTAGTTATTTTAGGTCTTAATAACAAATTACTCGTTTTTATTTAGATAATACTCATTAAATCTTAAAACAATAATATTAGTAATCTATTTAAAACTGAAGAACTGTCACTTCATAAAGAGGTGGCTGGTGTGTAACCTTATGAATTTAGGGTTAACAACAATCTCTTCTGTAAAAAGAAATAAACTTTAATTAAGGCTTGACTAAATACAGAGAAAGTTTTAAAGTTATTTTTGAGCTGAGAACCACCCATGGAATTTAACTTCACTGTGCTCTTTTTAAGAGGCCAAGTTCACAAGGTACAGAGAGCAACTAGATTAAAAAGCAAGTTACTAGAGTATTATTTATTTACTTATTTATTTTTGAGATGGAGTTTCACTCTTTTCACCAAGGCTGGAGTGCAATGGCACAATCTTAGCTCACTGCAACCTCCGCCTCCTGGGTTCAAGCGATTCTCCTGCCTCGGCCTCCCCGAGTAGCTGGGATTACAGGTGCCCGCCACCATGGTCAGCTAATTTATTATTATTTTTTTTTTTAGTAGACACGGGGTTTCACCATGTCGGCCAGGCTGGTCTCGAACTCCTGACCTCAGGTGATCCACCCGCCTTGGCCTCACAAAGTGCTGGGATTACAGGCGTGAGCCACTGCGCCTAGCCTAGAGTACAGACTATTAAGTGAAATATGTTTGCTTACTCTAACAACCAAATAAATCTGATTTAATTTCAAAGTAACTGCTTTCAAACTGGCAAGAAAAAAAAAAAAAAAACCCAAGCTATTAGTAATTCCCTAGATGGAACCTTATTCCAAGGGTTAAATTGTACTCTGTACTTCACAATCCTAAGTCCAAAAACAAAAACTACAAAATTAAATTAATCATAACTCCTCTTTGTACTACCAAAACTAACAATTGTCCACAACTGGCGATAAATTTCACATGCAAAAATACAAAACAGCAAAAACTTTGTAACAATGTTAATTCGATTTTCCTGATTGTTCTCAGCAGCAGTTCTGTATTACAGAAGTACCTAACAGTAAGTTGCACACACGTTCCTGGGGTTATAGAAAAGAACCTCTACTGTATGATCAAATTTATATTTAAGTATACATTTTTTTGGTAGACACAACAAAGTCAAAAAAGATACAACTATTAACAGTAATCATCTCTGGGAGATGAATTTACGAGGACTATTTCGCTTTCATGTTATTATATAAATTTTTCTTACAATAATCACCTATTAGGAGAGTAGAAAGCAGAAAAGCTTACATCAAAACACTGCAAGCATGGGACTGCCTATATAAAAACAGTAGCATAATAAAGATGTTATAATTCATTGCCTCCCAACTCTAAAAATAAAGCGATCTAGTTATTTTTTACATGACTCAACTGGTCTTCACCAGAATCTGAAGGAGGATATATTACAATACCCTTTTTACTGTCCCCTCAAAATAAAAAGAAAAAACAACTAATGCTCAGTGATTAAAGAATTAACAAATATCGTTATGTCCTCAATCACACATACAGGGAAGCTACAAAAGTTAGCTCATAAAGGCAGAGTAGAATTATAGATACCAGAGGCTGGGAAGGATGGATGAGTAGGAGAAGAGATGAAGAGAAGTATGTTAATAGGTACAAACATATAATTAGATAAAGGTATGAATTTTACTGTTCAACAGCAGATTAGAGTGACTACAGTTAACTAATACATTGTATATTTCAAAGTAGCTAGAAGAGAGAACTTGAATTATCCCCAACATACAGAAATAATAAATACTCAAGGTGATGGAGACCTCAAATACTCTGACTTAATCATTACACATTCTATGTATGTAGCAAAAAAAAAAAAAAAAAAAATCACGTGCACCTCATAAATATGTAAAATATCTATCAATAAAAATAAAGAAAAGGTAAATCAAAAAAATAAAAGAAACTGGACCAAGTCACAGCTAGTCTAACCAGCTTTACTTAAGAGTTTCATAGAGGATTTCCTGGCATAAGAAACTCTTAAAATTCATTTTAAGAAACGGTAATTAGAGAATGGAAATAAAATGGAATAAGCCACCTTTTGATGTATTGCTGGCTGTACTATAATAAGTGTAGACCAGTATGTTCACTGTTTTAATAGCGTGTGAAAGAAAGTCTTTTTAGCCCTTTTCTTTCACTCCATTTTAACAGAACACAGTTCTGTAGATGAACTCCAGGTCTAGGTTCCTAAAGTGACATCCTGAATGAATAAACGGATACTGCCAGTAGACACAGAAAGTAAAATAGGTCACTGAAAAGAACAGAACAGAGCGGGGGACTTGGTGGGGAGGGCCTTCATTCACTTTTGAAAAACCAGTTACTTAATTGGATAGGCAGCCTTTCTCATTTAAACTGACTTTTGTTTCAACTTACCAAAAAAGAGTTTACTTTTAAACCTGTTTACTTTTACACGTTAATATTTAACTATTATTTATTTAATAGAAAATGTGGTCTTCTGGTCATGTCGTTTCTTAGGATACTCAGGGGAAGCCAGTCCCCATCTATATATAATAGTCACTGTACTGAAATGTAAATTTAAATCTAATGGCGAACTAGTTAAGTAACATTTTAATGAATATCCGAAGAAGATGCAACAGCAAGTTAGTTTGATATCATCAGAATCCAGGTAAAAAGAAATACCTGAGAATCCAGCAATTATTATTAACAACTCTTTTCCCAATCCTTTAATATTTCTGAAAGAATAAAAATAAACTCTTAGCAATGGAAACGGGTACCCAAGATAACAGGGATAGAAGAAAATGTACTCTTACGAGTCTCTGAATTTTGAATTATCTCAATGTATTAACTTTTCAGAAACTTTTCTTAAAAGTTTTTACTTATATAGTGATAGTAATGAATTACAACCCATAAGAAAAGATTGATATAAATAACTGAATAAATAAATACAAGGGGGAAAGGGGACAGCTCTTCCTTAAAGAATTTTAATTAGTAAAAATCAATGCAAACAAAAATCATTCAATGAATGCTAAATTAGTTAGCAAAAATATGAAAGGATAGCTGTACGGTTTCAGAGTATCTCCCCTGTAAGGCATTTATTAATTACTAAGGAAAAAAGGAGAAACTACAGTGGAGAAATCTGACAGACATCGCCTTAACCAACTAATCAAAGTTAATATTACCAGTATTAAGACATATACCCCACAACGGTCGGGCTCGATGGCTCACGCCTGTAATCCCAGCACTTTGGGAGGCCGAGGTGGACGGATGAGGAGGTCAGGAGATCGAGACCATCCTGGCTAACACAGTGAAATCCCTTCTCTACTAAAAATACAAAAAATTAGCTGGGCGTGGTGGCGGGCGCCTGTAGTCCCAGCTACTCAAGAGGCTGAGGTAGGAGAATGGCATGAACCCGGGAGGCGGAGCCTGGAGTGAGCCGAGATGGTGCCCCTGCACTCCAGCCTGGGCAACGGAGCAAGACTCCAACTAAAAAAAAAAAAAAAAAAGACATATACTCCACAGCATGATCCACTGAGATGGGCACAACAGCGCTTGTGTGTGATTGTTTTGCCAAAAATGGTCCTCATTATAATCATGAGAACACATCAAACAAACCCAAATTCAAGAACATTTTTATAAAATAACTAGCATTCTTCAAAAGTGTCAAGGTCATGAAAGAATGTGAAATGGCCACAGATTGGAGGAAACGAAACAGACATCACTACTAAATACAATGTGGAATCCTGGACCAGAAAAACCAACAGAGTAGGAAAACCTGGACCAGAAAAACCAACAGAGTAGGAAAACCTGGACCAGAAAAACCAACAGAGTGAGGAGGAAAACAGGTAAAATTTGAGTAAGATTTGCAGATTAGTGATAGCACTGTATCAATACTCATTTCCTGCTTCCCATAACTATACTATGATTATATGAGTTAACATCCACATTATTTTTTTCCACTGTTATGTAAATCTAAATTTATTTCAAAATAAAGAATTACAATTTAAAAAGTGAGCCTGGGCAACATGGCAAATCCCATCTCCACAAAAATTAGCCAGGTGTGGTGGTGTGCCTGTAGTCCCAGCTACTCAAGACTGAGGTGGAAAGATCGCTTGAGCCCAGGAAGTAGAGGCTGCAGTGGTCCATGATCACTCCGCTGCACTCGCCTGGGTGACAGAGCAGGACCCTGTCTCAAAAATAATAATAATAATAATTAAAAAGTGTTTGCTTTGGACTTTGGGGTTATTTATTCTAATGAGGGAAGGGGGGAAATAATGTGACAAAGTATGAAAGCTGTGAAAAAAGATAAAGAAAACTGAGGGAAAAAAATCACTCAAAATGGTATCTTCTACAGTTTAAATAATGTTGTTAAAATTTTAATTATACATATTTGCTTTCTTCAAATAAGCAATCATTACTAATCATCCAAAATATATGTTAAATATAAGTGCTTAATATATTCGTTACTCTTCTCCAAAATAAATATCCACAGATAAAAGATCTAATGTTAACCTCAACTACAGATGACTTTCCCTGCAAAAGCTTTGTAAATTTTATCTATACGTTTTAGATTTTCTTTAATATACTGCTTTAAAAGAAAACACACACACTTTGAACTTTCCTTAAAGAAGGTGGAGAAAGATTACAATCCAAAACAATGACCTTTCTATAAAAAGCCTATCTTCCTAATACATGTGGTAAGGCAAAAAGCACTGGCCTTGAGTTTACACAACCTGGATTTTACTCCTGTTTCGCCAGCATGATTTAGCTGAGCTGTGTGCCTTCAAACTGAACCTTCTGGGTCTCATTTTCTTCATCTGCGAAATGAGCACATTAGACCACATCACATTTATGGCTTCCATCTGCCCTAAAATGCATCTCTTTGTCTTCTTACAGAGAATTCCATTTTGTGCTCCTTCTGTACTGACCCCCTACAGGCAAGGGCTGTATATACTCAATGACTGGTTGAGAACTCCAGGCCAGACTATCCTACTCCTGCCAGAACTATATATTCTAAAATGTCTTAAACTACTACTGGCCACCAGAATTTACTTTAAATTACATCCTCGGAAAACACCAAATCCTCATGTAATTAGATTCCTCTACACTTGCTCTTGAAGAAGTGGGGAAAGGTCTGTACCTATGTATTTCGCCCTCTTGAAGCTCCAAATCCCTTAGGGCTTTAAAAGGAATTTGGTAAATCAGACTGAAAATGAAACCGATGCCCCAAAAATTCTGAAGGAGTTACGTCTGTGTAGGAGGTAGGGGTAAATTGCTTTTTCCTAGGTAATAATTTATTTGATTTTTAATTAACCTTTTCGATTGTATTCAAAATTTCACCTAAGTACAATACAGAAAGAACCTAAGGTTTATAATCATGTAGCATAGGTTTACCTCAGTATCACCTTAATACCATAAACAAAGCAAATACATGTCTGTCACTTCATGACATTTTTAGGAAAGAAAATACATGTCAAAAGACATTCACAGGTGTTGCAAGAGAATTCTCTCATATTATGAAAAAGCCAAGAGGAGTTGTTGTTGTTGTTGTTGTTATTGTTTTGAGACGGAGTCTCGCCCAGGCTGGAATGTAGTGGCGCAATCTTGGCTCACTGCAACCTCTGCCTCCCGGATTCAAGCCATTATCTGCCTCAGTCTCCCAAGTAGCTGGGAATACAGGCACCCGCCACCACACCGACTAATTTTTGTATTTTTAGCAGAGACAGCATTTCACCATCTTGGCCAGGCTGGTTTTGAACTCCTGACCTCGTAATCCACCCGCCTTGGCCTCCCAAAGTGCTGGGATTACAGGCGTGAGCCACTGTACCCGGTGAAGAGTTTTTTAAAGGCTTAAGAAACAATCTACTATACACAATATTCCAAAAGGAACTACAACAAGCACTGACATTGAATTCGAAAAATAAAATTCAGCAAAAATATCTTGGTCTGTAACAAGACCAACATATTACACAGTGCCTTCAAATGTCAAAGTAATTGGTATTGAAAACATTATTTTAATATGGTAAGCAATATGATCTCCTTTAATTAAACCACAGTTGGTTTACTTCACAAAGATTCAGAAAATCTAAGTCATGTCATGCTACTGGCAAATCTACATTTATTACTTTTTTACTGCCTCTTCAAGTGTACATTCTATCATATAATAACATACTTGGAAAGCAAATTTAATCAGTTTTTCAATGCAGAATACAGCCCTCTGTGTTGAGATTGTAAAAGTATAACTGATTAGAAGCTAAATACTATATTTAAAAAATATATATTACTAATACAATCCAACAAAAACCCTGGTAATGGACATTCCAGACCAACCCTCCACAATGAAATCCTATCACCAACTCCCTTCTCAACCTATCTGATACATTCAAGACTAAACTCCTAAGCCTTCCCCAAAATTTGTTCCTCCTGATCTCGGGCAATGACACAATGTCAAGTCCATTCTCACACTTCATATTCCATCCACTAGCAAATACTGTGTACTCAACTTTCAGACTATATCCCCAATTTCACTTCACCATCACAAGCCCTAACATTACAGCTCTAACCACAATCATTTCCTACCTAATCTTAACCTAACCGGTCTACCTGCTTCCACCACTACCTTGGTCAGTCTATTCTTTATTCTTTGGAGTTAGCCTGCTGAAATCCAAGTGAGATGTCACTCCTCTGTTCAAACTTTTTGGTTTCAGGACTCCACTCTCTAAAAATTAATTGGAGGAGCCCAAAGAGATCCCTGTTCATGAAAGTTATGTCTAATAAAACTTACCACGCTAGAAATTAAAACTAAAAATGTTTAAATTATTTTTTCATTTTAAAATACTAGTAAACTTATTATATATTAACCAAAAATGCACATTTTACAGAAAATAACCTATTTTCCAACTAAACAAATTACTGAAAAGGTCAGTTTTATACTTTTGCAATCTTTTAAATGTCTGTTTTAATAAAGACAGCTAGATTCTCTCTTCTCTTGAATTCAATCTGTTGCAATATCACATAGCACGCAGCCTCTGGAAAACTCCACTGTACATTCGTATGTAAATGGTGGTGAAAATGGCAAATAACATCTTATTATCACAAAGATAGTCTGATTTCACAGATTCCCTAAAAGGATGCCCAGAACCACTGCTCTAATGATTTCCCATCTCAGTTGGTATAAAAGCCCAGGTCCTTACAAAGATAAACAATAGCCTACAGCATCCACACAGGCTCCCCTTGCCCTCACCTTTTTTGCCCTTCTGATCAAATGTCCTTAACCAACCTAACCTCCGTCCCTGGCTACAAGTCCACACAAGGAATTGCTAGCCCTGCCCTCAAGGTTTTGCAGTAACTCTTTCCCTGCCTTGGAAAGCTTTTCCCCAAAGAGCAGTATGGCTCACACTAACACCTCCTTCAGATTTCTGCTCCAGTTTTTCAAGGAGTCCAACCTTGATCTTCCTATTTTTAAACAGCAACTTGCCTCAATCCATAGGAACACTCCAGATCCCCTTTACCCTTCAATTTTATTTCTATAATTCATATTTCCTAATACATTACTGTACTTGTTTATTGATTATTGCCTGTTGACATTAGAATGTTAGCTGAGAGGGCAGATAGCTTTGTTTTTGCCTTTTGCTATATTTGTAACATCTACATCCTTGGAGAAAAAACACCTTTTGAACAAATATTAGGACTATTAGCACAAAAACACGCAAAGCTCCAAAAATATTTCTTGTAACTTCACTCAAGCATCAATATGGCATCTGCTTGACAATTCTAGCTAGCTTACTCCTCTTCCCTTTAAAGTAATATAAATGCACAGTGCTCTTCTGCAAATGGCTTGGTCTCTTTATTCTGGACTTGAGAAGTTTAGAACACTTTGCTAATAACATATGTTCATTACATCAATGCTAAATTCTTCCAGTGTATCTTACATCAGATGAGAAAATAAAATATACAGGCATCTAAATATGTGCTTAGTCTTGGCTTTAAGAAAAAAACCGAGCCAATAAGGAAAAGGCTGCTCCTGCCAGGATTGCACAAAAGGACTGCAATCATCCACTCCTACTGAGCTTTATCATAAACCCTATATTCATAGCCTGCACAGTCCTAATTAACCCTGTACTCAAAGTATATTTAGTAAAAATATATTCAGAACATAATAAAATAAAAGCTTTTTAATTTCCTAAAAGTAAAAACTTTACAAAATTGAACTGACCTGAATAAAGTATAACCTGTTTTAAAAAAAAAAAACTGTCTTACCAATGATACAATATAATGATTTTTTTCGTATATGCATTCAACAACTATGTATTTTACACCTACTCTGTACCAGGCACTGGCCAAGGCCCTAGGAATATAGTCATGTGCAAATACAGACATGGTCCCAGTTCTATAACAAACTAAATGAACAAAAACTATAGTTGAAGCAGAGTAGCAAAATAAGACCTCTTAAAAGAAACCTCTAAACATACTTCATAACACAAAGAATAATTTTACCTTTTATTGAGTTTCTACATCTCATCATATAACTTAAACTAAGGAAGTTATGCCAATATTAAAAGCATTATGTTGGATTCTACAGTCATTCAGTCTATATGGCTAGGAGATACAAATCCAGAATTCAGAGTAATGAAGTCTAATGTCTTTCCACATAAAAAGCCTCCCCAAGAACTCTGTGGTGGAAGTCAGCATTTTATTCCATTATTATCAGGTAGATTCCCTTACAGGTAAGTAATATTTTCACCTTCATTTCATAGTTAGGAAAGAGAGATTTGGGGATTAAGTACTTTCACCAAAGACCACATAAAGATGAAAATCTAGCTGACTCCAAAAGCTGTATTCTTTTACTCATACCATTTGGCCTCTCCAGCACTACTGCTCCATCCCCAAAGTTAAATTTGGTTGCTGCTAGAGTGAGTGATCATGATAGTGGGAAAAGCAGTGATGACAGATGGTAAGAGCTAGATAGAGAAGAAGGAAAAGATGGGGCAGTGAGTAGAAATTAGAACTATGAATAAAGTAAAGAACAAAAAAGTAGAGACATATACAATGAGGGGGGAAAGGAAATGGTATATTCAAATTAAAAGTGGAATGAAAATCAGACAAGACATTCTCATTTAAGCTTTTCACCATCCATATTTACTCATCCATGAGGACTTCTAAGATTATTCTAGGCCAGGCACAGTAGCTCACGTCTGTAATTCCAGCACTTTGGGAGGCCAAGGCAGGCAGATCACTTGAGATCAGGAGTTCGAGATCAGCCTGGTCAACATGGCAAAACTCAATCTTTACTAAAAATACACAAATTAGCTGGGCGTGGTGGCACACACTTGTATTACCTGCTACTCGGGAGGCTGAGACATGAGAATTGCTCACACCCTGGAGATGGAGGTTGCAGTGAGCCAAGCCACTGTACTCCAGCCTGGGCAACAGAGTGAGACTCTGTTTCAAAAAAAAAAAAAAAAAGGATTCAGGACGCGGTGGCTCATGCCTGTAATCTCAACACTTTGGGAGGCCGAGATAAGTGGATCACCTGAGGTCAGCAGTTTGAGAACAGCCTGGCCAACACGGTGAAACCCCATCTCTACTAAGAATACAAAAAAAAAAATTAGCCATGTGTGGTGGCGGGCACCTGTAATCCCAGCTACTCGGGAGACTGAGGCAGGAGAATCACTTGAAACCAGGAGGCGGAGGGTGCATTGAGCCGAGATCGTGCCACTGCAATCCAGCCTGGGCAACAGAGTGAGACTCCGTCCCCCACCCCCCCGAAAAAAAAAAAAAACAAAAAAAAACCACGAAGGATTATTCTAGAGCGAAAATTCTGAGTTTGATAGAATAAATTCTTTCGCTTGAACAACAAATATTTGTAGGTGTCTGTCATGTAATACATGCTCAAGAATCTGCTATTATTAATGCAGTAGTTCCTATCTTTCTGTGGTATCAGACACTGTGCTGGAGACACACTGGTAAGCCATACAGCCCTTGCCCATGAAGACCTGGCAGTGGGCCAAGCTGTGGAGGTGAAAGAAGATGAAACTGATGATCTGGACCCTGTGCAGGCCTAGGTTAATGTGTGTGTTTGTCTTCAACAAAAAGGACTCAGAAGTAAAAATTAAATAGAAAAGTTCGAAAACAGAAAAGAGCTTATAGAATAAGGATATAAAGAAAATATTTCTGTACAGCTGTATAATGTATTTGTATTTTAAACTGTAATTGTAGTCAAAGGTTTAAAAAATTTAGAAGTTTATAAAGTTATAGTATGTTAAGGTTAATTTATTACTTAAGAAAAATATCTTTTATAAATTCAGGGCAGCCTAAGAATACAATGTTTATTAAATCCACAGTAGTATCCTAGGACTTTCACACATTCACTCACCACTCACTCACTGACTCACCGAGAGCAACTTCCAGTCCTGCAAGCCCCATTTATGGTAAGTGCTTTATACAGGTATACCATTTTTTATCTTTTATACCACATTTTTACTGTACCTTTTCTATGTTTAGAATGTTTCTACGTTTACACAAATACCATTGTGTTATAACTGCCTACAGTATTCAGTACAGTAGCATGCTGTACAGGTTTGCAGCCTAGGAACAAAAAAGGCTATACCATACAGCTGAGGTGTGTAGTAGGCTATACCATCTAGATTTATGCAAGTACACCCTATGATGTTCGCAAAAGGAAATAGCATAATGATGCATTTATCAGAATCTATCACTGTCTTTAAGCAATGCATGACTTTATGTGTATGTGTATATATATCTTTCTCTTTAAAATAATAATAGTACTGGTCATCAATGTCATTATAAATGATGACTGTGATGTAAAATTATATTCTGGAAATACTGTGTTCTGATAGATCTGAAAGACAGTATCTACTGATCTGATCATTATTTATCTGAAATATTATCTGAAATCTGAAAATGGTCTTTTCCCAGACTTTGTAGGCATAAAAAATACTTAGAAAAGACACCTAACAAATGCTGTTTGCAAATGACTTCTCACATGTAGATCTACTATACATAGCAAAAGGAAGGTAGAATGTAACAGGTTAATTTTCCCAACTCATTTTTACTAAGTTCCTCCTTAAAATTCAACCACATAATCCAGAAAACCTTAAAAGCTACTCAAACACAAACCTCACAGTACATTTAGCTTATGAAAATGACCGTCAAATACTTTTCCAACACTCTTTTTAAAAGGTCAGAGCTTTTTCTTCCAGGATCTGACCTTTTTTGGCTTAACCACTTTTCCGGAGTTTAAAATTAGTTTAACCACAAATGAATAATTTGAGGGAAACAGAGATGGGAGGGGAGGGCATTTTAGCGTCTAATACATATTGACACAAGTTTGGAAGGTATATTTGCATTACCGTAATGTAAATTTGCATAACTATAACTCAAACCCTAAAATAGTTATCTAAACAAAAACAAAAAACTGAAAAGCATCACACCTGAAACCCTCAATGTGAAACAGTAACATTACTATGGCTAATTTAGTGATGTCACTGTTCAACACATGATTCTAAAATCCATTCACAACCACTCAAAAATCTCAATTACTTCAGGTGTTTTCCAGACTGTGGCATAAACAATCTTGAACTAAATTATGGCTACATTTCGGGTGTGGATTTAAGCACATAACAAGAAAAACTCTTTTTAAAAAGTAAATCACCACCAGTATCTATGGGAACTGAATTTAGTATCATCTCATAAACAAATAATTATATTCAGCTAATTATACTTTGATAATCGATACACTAAATTTATAGCCTGTTACAGAAAAACAGTAAAATTTTAACATAAGTACTATATGTATACATACATCACTTGTATCATTTAAATTATATACATATATAGCTTATGTATATACCTTATTCTAGCTTCGTGTTACACGTTAAATTGCAACAAATTTTAATTTTCATCTGAAAGTAAAAATAAAGCTTTCCTGGATCAGGAGAACTAGAGTTAAAATAATTAAACTACATCATCTCTCTCACAAAGGCTTTACCTCTGAATTCTCAACTTGCCACAGCTTCCTTCAGCCAAATAAAACAAATGACCAAGTATCTATGTCACCGATAAGGGAATTAAAGAGTTGATTTATTTTGAACTCTCCTCTCCATGGAAATTGAGAGATGGCTAAACATTCAAATGTATCTCCAACATTACATGCTCTTCTCCTATGAATGTAATCATTCTCCAAAAAGTCAGGCTCTTAATTTAGATGGAACTACTTTCAATGAAAAATATACAATTTACTGGTTCTTGCTTTAGCAAGAAAAGGAATACTTCTATTTCTTCTTCCCTTTTTTTTTTTTTTTTTTTTTTTTGAGACGGAGTCTCGCTCTGTCGCCCAGGCTTGAAAGCAATGGAGTGATCTTGGCTCACTGCAACCTCGGCCTCCCAGGTTCAAAAGATTCTCCTGCTACAGGCACACACCACCACGCCCAGCTAATTTTTGTAGTTTTAGTAGAGATGGAGTTTCACCATGTTGGCCTGGCTGGTCTTGAACTCCTGGCCTCAAGTGATCAGCCCACCTCGGCCTCCCAAAGTGCTGGGATTACAGGTGTGAGCCACCGCACCTTGCCATTTCTTCCTTTTCATACCTTCAGTCTCATGACCACCTCAGTAAGTTGTTCCCTGAATAGAGAATTTGTAAAACGTTTTTCTTGCTTTCTCCATCAAAATATTAAGCTCTCATACTTGCTTTAAACTTAAACTTCTCCAATTCTATACCTAAAGAGAACAAAGATCTACCACAGCTATACCCTTATTATGTAATGTACCATGCTGCCCAAAACTACAGTCAAAAGAATCAGGGTTGTGTATGGAAGCAAAATCGAATAACCTTCTAGAAGTTAACACTTCTTTACCTTTAAACCCCAGTAGTTTCAATAAGTATAATGAGAAATGTTATTTTTATATTTTACATCAGCATTTCTACATTTTAAACATTTACCTTGCTTGGATGGGTAAATGTTTCCAATAGCCACAAATAATTCTCTGAACTTGGACATTAGCTATCTGTTAACAAGCATGTATACTGCGGGACAGAACAGGCATCTCAAAATACACACTACAATGCACCTAAATTCTGGATTAAACACTTTAAATAGTGTGTACTGAATCAAGGGTTTGGTTATTCCTAAGAAATTACAAACATTAGTCACTTAGAGTAAAAAATGACAAAAACCCAGATTTTCCTGTAATAGAAATTTTCTACCATTCTGTGTTTAAATATTATAATATAAATGGCTTAAATACAATAGAAAATAGTAAAGACTGATCATTTATATGACAAACATTCTGTCAGTAGTGTTAATTATAAGCCCACAATATTCTATATCCTTTAAGATTGCAGTTCCTCATATATACAGCAGAAACATGAAATACACGGCATATGACTAGAAACGTGGCAAATGGATTTCATTAGGCATATCATCTACTAAAATGTTAAAAACCAGCAAAATTTTAAATACTTTATAAAATACAAAAATGCATGTGCTAAAGGCTTTAATGTATAAAACTTAACTTTAAACCATCTCTAACACTTAAATAGAATACTCAAGTGTCATTCATCTGAACTAAGCAGGCCAAGCAAAATACCCTATGATTCCAATGTTCTCCTCAATGTCAAAATGGGTGGATAAATTTAAAGCCTGTTCTCTCAAGAGTTGCTTTATAGGCAATTTTCTCCCAGTATCAAGGTCTGCAATTTCCATTAGGCTGCCAGTTTGCGATTAAATTCATCACCTTTATTATAAAAATGTGCTTTACTCCATGGCCTGCTGCACAAGAACTATAAGGAAAACATTTTTCACTGCTGCCGGCAAAATCATTCTAAGGCAACCACCACATTCACTCCAACATTAGCTTCTTCAACCTGAGGTAGCAGCCTATCCTTCACAGGAAAAACCTGTAACAATTGCGTAACTTACAGAAACTAAATTCTATAGAAATGTCATGCTTTATGTTTTTTGGATAATATGCAACTAATCTATTAACGTCTAGATTCAGTATTATTGTGAATTCACTGTGAGATAAAAAGTCAATATACAGAATATACACAAGTTGCAATTTTTTAAAAAAATCATTTTTAAGTGTTGGATAATTAAGTACCCATCTTTTATTCCATTATTTAAAAGTTAATGGTTTATTTTACAGTTTAATTTACCATCTGTACAAATAATCAAATATATTTTTATATTAAACTTCTACCTGACTTTACCTTTCTTAATAAGTCACAATACTGAGGGGGGAAAAAGTCAGGAAAGAAGTATTTCTCCAATAATAATATTAAAGCTAGTTCCTATGACATATTTAGGAAAATATTACTCATTTGTAAAATTTAATTTTTTTAAAGATTATCTATATAATTAACATTTATCTTATTTATTAATTTTTTTTTTGAGAGTCTCACACTGTTGCCCAGGCTGGAGTGCAGTGGCACGATCCTGGCTCACTGCAAGCTCCGCCTCCTGGGTTCACACCATTTTCCTGCCTCAACATCCCAAGTAGCTGGGATTACAGGCGCCCACCACCACGCCCGGCTAATTTTTTGTATTTTTAGTAGAGAGGGGGTTTCACTGTGTTAGCCAGGATGGTCTCGATCTCCTGACCTCATGATCCGCCCGCCTCAGCCTCCCAAAGTGCCAAGATTAATATTTATTTTTTAACAAACTTGGCCAGTAAGCTAAAAGTTCAAAAATATCTTATTTTCAAGTAAACTTGATTATTGTTTAGTTTTTATAAAATCTAGGTAAAAAACTAACTTTCCCATCAAGGTAAGCCCGTCATAAGAGGGATTATCAGATTATACGCAGTAGTAATCTGTGAACCTAGAAGAAACTGCCATCTTCCTGCTAGGAAATGATGTGGCCCCTTCCATCTCAGGCTGGGCATGCCTCTGTTAGGGCAGTTACAGCATTGCAGCTTCTATTTTCATTACTCTCCATGCCATTGTGTGGCTCCTTGAGCACTAGACTATGTCTTATCCATCTTTGTATCCCCCCAGCACCCAGCAAAGAGCTGGATTAAAAAAAAAAGTTTGTTGAAAACTAAATTACAGCAGGAATCGACATCGGTTTTGCTAAGACTGCACAGCACACAAGCCACTAAATCAATATTATCAATCACAACCAACCTTTTTAAAAATGAAACAGAATAGAAAAATAGTATACTGCATCACAGGCAGTACAGACAAGTATTATTTCATGAAACTTTCATTTCAATTGTTGAGTTATATAAATGTGTATGTACACATTTTAAGTTCATAACAAAATATTTAACCTTATAGGTAGCATTTTAAAAGTGCAAGGCATGCTACCTTTCGTGGTTCATTCTTTTTTTTTTATGAGAGGAGTCTCACTCTGTTGCCCAGGCTGGAGTGCAATGGCGTGGTCTCAGCTCACTGCAACCTCTGCCTCCCAGGTTCAAGCGATTCTCCCACCTCAGCCTCCCCAGTAGCTGGGACTACAGGCACGTGCCACCACACCCGGCTAATTTTTGTATATTTTTAGTAGAGATGGGATTTCACTATGTTGGCCAGGCTGGCCTCAAACTCCTGACCTCGTGATCTGCCCACCTCGGTCTCCCAAAATGCTGGGATTACAGGCATGAGCCACCGTGCCCGGCCTGTGGTTCATTCTTATACTATTTTTCTGGTTCATATTTATACTGTTAGGATATATGTACCTGTTATTTAATAATAGTAACATTAACAATTAAAGAGACTCTGAAATCACAAAATCAGACTTCTACTTGAGGATCTTCTTAAATTACCACCACTTGCTCCTATACTTTCACTCCTTCCCCCTTCTCAGGCTTCAAGCCATCTGTCTTTAAATATCCACAAAGTAATAATGTAACATTCAAATGTGGTCAACTTGAGACCTATCTGCAGTTACCATGTACCTAAACAACATCACTATGATATATCCTATGCCATTCAGTTAATGTGTTCCAATTTAAAAATCAAATGAAAAAGTTTCACTTTGATAAAGTAAAATGTAAAAAGAAGCCTCTTGTGCCTTTTACCAACATGTAAAATAAATCAATTTTCCTATAACCTAAAACAAATCTAAGATTTTCTAACTCTGATCTTACTTCCACCTGCCTTTATTACTATCATTCTCTTAAGGGATTCATTTATCTCTCTACTCACTACCCTGTTTGGTTATTTTCTTTTACTCAAGATTTACAAAAGAACAATATAAAGTCTTTTCAGATCACCCTTCAAAATTTAGTCTATTCTTAACTAATCACCCTTCAAAATTTAGTCTATTCTAGCCTATAAAACTACAACCTGTACAGAACATCAACACAAACATGTCTAAATATTAGTCTAGCAATCCTTTATCTTAGACTTTTATCACATTATTCCAAAGCAAATGACTCAGATCTATAACAAAGTGGGGAAAGAGAGAGACTACTCTTAACAAAACATTTTAAATTACTGGCTGACACCTGACACAGGAGGATCACTTGAGGCCTTAAGTTTAAGACCAGGCTGGGCAATATCGTGAGACCCTGTCTCTTACCAAAAAAAAAATTTTTTTTAATTATCCAGGCATGGTGGCTCACCCCTGCAGTCCTACCTCTCTGGAGGCTGAGGCAGGAGGATCGCTTGAGCCCAGGAGTTAGAGGATGCAGTGAGCTATGATAGCACCACTGCCCTCTAGCCTAGACAGGGTGAAACCCCATCTCTTTAAAAAAAAAAAAAGGGGGGGGATTTTAAATTATTTATATTGTGTAAAACATGGAAAGTGAAAACCCTTAGGCAAATATTCAGTGAATTGTTCCTAGACCTAGATTCACCCTGCTGGAAAATGCTAATGGACACTACCTAGGAGAGCCTTTGTCTTTGGTTTAACATCAATTTAATGATAATATGACTGTGCATTAGATGCTTGATTGTATTCTTATTTGGAGGAAGAATTTAAAATACCCTGGGTAGATACTTCCAGCAACAAAACAGAATTAAATTAATTAAGACTATTCACAACAGAAGGTAGCCACATTACACAATTATCAGTCATGACATTATTCTGCTTAGAGGGGATCAGGCCCAAAGGTACTCTTACTTGTTAATAATGTAACTTAAATATATTTCTGTCCCAAGAGCCAAATGATCTAACATGCCTGAAACCAGCAGTTTCCAAAATATAAAATGTATTCATATCCTTTGTAAAGGAACAGCATTTACATATATAATGAAGAATGGGTCTACGATCTCTCAAATCCACACCCGCTTTAAAATTGCAGAATTACAGGGTTTTTTTTTTTTTTTAATAAGAACAGTTTTTTGTTTTTTTTTTTTTACAAAAATCTTTAGGGCCTTCCAAATAAAATGCTATTCTACTATCCACCCTTAGACTTCCCTTTTATAAAGGCTACAAAGGTCACCAAAACTTTATGATATAACTGAATGAGGGGAGATAATATATTCTATTAATAGATTAAAATCTAAGTTCACAGAAAACAACCGGTGTTACTGACAGATCTCACAAAATTGCATCTTAATGTTTGTTTAAATGACCTAACAAAGATAAGTATTTTTCTTTCCAAAATTTACTAATTCCTCTTCACCTCACAATTCAGTCATTCCCAAATTTAAAAAATGTAGATGTAAACCAGGCATGAGTTACAACATGAGCATATTTCTCTGTATATACCTATTTTAAAGTAAGTTTCAGTTTGATGTTTAAGCTGGCAGGATTCTATGTTAATTTTTTTTATTTAGAGAATTACATTTTTAAAAAACAGCACATCTTAATTTTTATTTAAATAACAAATGCATTTGAGTTAGACAAAATTCATTACTGAAATCATTTGACTGAATTGTTATTTAATGAAAGCCAGACAAGGACAGTTTTCTTGCTTCCTTTCAATTGAAACCTGAAGCCCAACCTAAGTGGAATAATATAACTTTTTTTTTTCCAAGGGGTACTTTGATTTGACTTGAGCCAGCACTCTCATTCAAAATTAAGATTCCCAAACAATTATTGTTTAAACCTGCCTCCACCCAAGGATCCACAGATCTTTAACAATCCCCTAAAATTTCCCTTAACATATCCTCAGAACTAGTACCAAGAATAAAAGAAAGAAAAACCGTATTTCCTTAACCAAGTAATTTCAGAAAATGCTCAGTTAAACCAAGTTAACTTTCTTGACTGCAAATCCTGGAGACTTAATATGGCAACACATCCTGAATTCACAAAAGGAGTATGCAGAACTTCCTGGACTACAGGACCCTTCTTTTCTCAGACTACCTCAGGAGACCAGTATTCCATGGAACACACTTTTCAAACATCAGCCTAAAGCCTTCCTTGTTCAGAGTTAAATTAGCAGATTTTTGTTCTCTCACTTCCAACCTAACCTATACTTTTTCAAGCCATTAGAGTAAAAAGCAAACTGGGAAGATGGGGAAAAGAAAGCATACTGGTAAAAACTATGCCATACTATCTAGACCAGAATATGCTGACAACTAATCTATCCTTTAGAGCTTAGGCCCATCAGCTCAAGAATTCACACACTCGCTAATCCAGATGTACCTATTCCTCCATGCTCCTGATCAATTCATAAGCCCAATCACCTACACATACAGAAAAAAACTGAAACACATGGCTTCATAATAAAAGCTAAGTAAAATCCAAATGCACTAGGAAAACAAAAAAAATAAAAAGCCAAATTAAGCATACAGATAAACAATAGTTAAAATTAAAAGTTAGGCAGTAAGATACCCCTCTTCTCCAAAAACCTAAAGAGAGTCAAAGTCAAGAAAAAAGAACATCTGAAAATGAAGGGAAGAGAAGGACAGCAGCAATCACAGCAATCTACCACATTAATATATCACTCTATAATGTAATGCCTGTACAGGATAGAGATAAGAAAATCTGGACTAAAAACAGAAATATGGAGGCAGATAAAGGAAAAAGCTAAGACCAAAGGTATAAAAAGCTCTCTCTAATAGAGAATTATTTACACCTTCCTACTCAGAATGTTCCCACATTCAAGAACACCGTTCCCTGTGTCTAGAACGCCACTCCCTTACCTGTTCTCCACTTCAATCCTACCTGTCCTTTAAGAGCCAGATGAAATTTTACCTCCTCTCCTGAAACATTCCATAGCCTCCTCAGCCAAAAACACCCTCTTTAGCACCAGTCTTTAGTCTTCTTGGTATGTTTCTATTTCCTTTGTTACTCTTATTTTCATATTCTTTCCAACTACTGAGATAACTTGAAGGAATGAATTTGAAGCTTTAGTGTGTCCCTCATAACATCGCACACATATTAATAGCATACAACCAAACAGCCTAGAATAGAATGAAAAGTTTCAATTAAGTATGTTAAGTCACTAAAAACTAATACATGAAATATGCAACTCTGACATTATTCGAAAATCACGTTGCATCCTAACAACCAGTTTCTACTGCAATGCAACATAAAATGCTTATTTCAGATTAACTGCATTGCAAAAATAAGAGTTTGGTATTCATAATTCCCAGTTACAGTATTTTGTAACTTAAGGCTTTTAAAAAAGTAACTTCTAAAGCCACTTAATGCTATCATTACACACATTTCCTGAAAGCAAAGTGGCAAGTCCAACAGATTAGTTAAGTAAATTATAATATACCTCGACAGCATGAAATATATTACTATAAACATTATATTTGCAAAGAATATGAAATGGCAAGGAAAAATTTTGCTCATGATATAATTTTTTTTAAAAACCGTAATTCCAATTTTGCTACATCCATAAACACTGGTGGGGGGGGACTACAAGGAAACATTAAGAGCAGCTATCAGTGCATGATGAGTACTTTTAACTTTTTAATTGATATATTTTAGTTTTTCCCAATAAGGAATATTTCTTCTGATAAATAAGTTCTTTATAACAGTTCTTTAGGATTACTGAAAGAAATTCAAGCTTCTCATAAAATCTCTAACAACTATAAGAAACAATCTTAAAATGTATAGACAAAATTGGCCATTGCTATATTTCCCTGAAAAGAAGTAATTCCCATTAAGGTTCAAAGACAATGTGCTACGCTATCTCTGTGCCCTCACCACTGCTTCTTCCAGGAATGAAAAAAGTTACAAACCATGCTACTGCCAAAGATGAACTGAAAATCTGTGGATCGATCTCCAATTCTCTACATTTTAGGAATAACAGAAAAGGAAAAAAGTGGGGCTGGGGAGCAGGGACTAAAATGCAAGTTATTATCAGTTACAAAGGTGGCAAAGTCAATCTCTTCCTCCTTGGTTCTCTATATAGAAACAAGACATATTCTTCTCTCCTGTGCAGAGTTCAATTTCAAGTCACTGAAGGCAAGAGTATTTTAAATTGCCTTGACAGTTTAAAAAAAAAAAAAGCTCAATATAACTGAACTAGGAAAATATAACTTAAATACATTAAAGTACACTTCTGAATCACATCTAAGAAGGAACTTAAATGAGCAGTATTTCAACAATTGCAAAGCATATGTTAAAGCAATCTATGTAGTATTTACCTACTAAAAAAGCTAACAGTATGTCGTAATGCTATAAACTATAATAAAAGTGAGATAAGACTATCTTTTTTACTGCTGATAATTTTTTATTACTATGATAAAACTATGATCCCCAAAAGAACTTTCTCTTCATATAACATATAGTAAACTATGACACATTTTCTTCTGATTTATTTTAATAAACAGAAATAAACTGCCTAAAGACTTTATAATTACAAAGAAAACGTACAAACAGGATACCTCTCAATATATGTGACTCAGTCACCCACCAAAACAAAAACCCTTCAAACAACTGAGTTGTAAAGGCAGAAACTATTTCAGAAAATAGCTGCAATCAATCTGATGTACTAAACTAGTTACATTTAATATGGTCAACATACCAACATATAGTCTCTTAAAAAGACAAGTTCTTTAAAGAACTATGACAACTTTTTCACATGCCAATGAAAATACTCAATTAGGTAACTGTTATTTGTCACATTCCTGAGCAACTCTTCCCTTACAATTTAAAGGAGAACATTTTCCTATTCTGGCAAAAGGGTTATTTCTCAACACATTTTAATCACTGAGTGCTCTCTTTTGTGTACTAACATCCCCATCTGCTGGAACATAAGTTCCTTACTACTAAAAGTTCTTAATGACAACAAGTTTGCACTAGAGATTTTGCAACTACTAAGAAATACAATTTTAAGACTTACTTTCTACCTATGAGGTTTCCCCTACTTCATATGACTTTAAAAGCTTTAAAGATCTATATATATTTTTACTGATATTATTCAGAAGAATTCACTAAATTGAAACATTTTGCCTGTCATATTCTTTTTTCCCTACCCTTCGTGCTTAAGATACAAAGCACTAGTATAAACAACCATCTCCTTGTAAGTTATCTTTCTGGATCATATTGCCATCACACACACACGCGCGCACACACATGCAGGCACACACACGCACGCACCTGACATTAAAATATATGTGTATTTTCCATGTCTGCTGAGCATAAGGTAAAAGCTAATAGAAGCAGTAAGTACAACAAAAGAACACAGCTAATAAATGACAGCATCAAAAAGTCAAAAACAAGATTCAGTAGAAATTAAAACTTAGTATACACAGAATGAGGACCCCCCCACCAAAAAAGGAAAATAATTGTCATCAACCAGAAAAATGGGTCACTGGCTATATTATTGGTAACATGTCTAAAACAAATTTAAAAATTTTAAAGATAGTTTTACTGCTATTAGTAATATTATTAATTTTGTTATTTTGAAAGTATTTTCCTTAATATTGTAGAATAAAGCAAATAAGTATGTCACCATCAAGAACAACATTAGTTTAGCTGTGGCCAGCAAAAAAAAAAAAAAAAAAAAAAGGTACGAGTATAAAATTAACAGTAACGTTAAAAAATTGAATTGAAAATATAAAAATGAATGAATGAATTTTAAAGTCAATACTGTCCATAGAAAATGGCTCAGAAGTAATCACATCCTGAGAGTAATGAACATGTTTAACACCTAAATTCAAGTATTTCATACCATTCCTATTGGAGAAATGGCCAAGTGTAGCTCCAGAACAGGCAAGGCAGACAAGGCACAAGGGAAGCCTTGTGCCCCAGAAAGCAAGCAGCAGTTCAACAGACACAGGAGCCAGTTTAATTATCAATGGCTAAAGTTGTAATAATTTTAACATCAAAATTAATTATAGTTGACTTAAGTACATTGAATCTATGAAATCCATGAGTCTACAAAGATGATTAGAAAAGAGAGAAAAAATTCATTGGTCTCCATTTGAAGCAACTAGCAAACCAACACTTTACTTTGAGAACCAAGTAATAATAAGCAGCAGCATATATCTGGCTTGCCCCATTAGAAACTCACTTCAAAATCGCAATGTATTTCCGTGTTGGGGTCAGAAAGCTGTACCTTTCAAAGGATGCCAAGTAATTGCAGAAAGAATGGCAGAATTAAAGTATCATCATGGTGCAAGCTCTGATGAAACTGATTCAGGCAAAAAACTGGTCAAAACCAGGTGTGAATGTTGACGGGGCACCTTTGGTCGATGGGGCACCTTCTGGTTCCAAGTGGGGAAACAAAACAAAACAAAACAAAAAAAACTACCTTTAAAGTACAAGGATCCATCTATCACCACTCTAATCCAGGTATCAATCTTTCCTTATCTGATGGCAGAGCCAGTTACTGTGCCTCCTGATGTAAGATAACAAAGTACACAGCAGCACCTATGAAGTACTCCAGTGGAAGATGCTATTCTTGAACCTACTTTAGAACTAGCTTCCAATGTTAATAGATACACAGGGCATAAAGGAACAAGCCCTGAACAAGTTAAATCAATGTCATTTGAAAAAAAAAAAAAAAGAGATGGTTCTAGATTTAAAAAGGCGTAACAACCAGATTTAATGAGCAGTATTGAGTAAGATTCTGGTTTGAACAATCCAGCTATAAAGAATATCAGGGGATCCACTACAGAAATCTGAATATGGACTGGTTATTACGTTATCTGTAGGATTAATCCATCTTGCTCAGTGTAATGTCACTATGTAAGGAAGTGTTAACTTTTAAAGATACACAAATATGTATCTCTCTAGGGATAGAATGTCAAGATATCTCTCATTTACCTAAAATAAACACAAAAATTAATACAATTAAATTTTAAAAGCCCGCATCAAACTTGGTAAAACATATTTAAAGGATCTCTGAAATTGGGACAAAATTTTCTTCAAGGCAAATTAATTCAAGAATTCCTAAGATTTTCTCCAAGAGTCTCTTCAATTGTCTTTAGCTCATATAGAAATAAAAGCTCAATTCTCTAACTAAAAATTGGGCTCTGACAGCTAAACAAATGAGCCCCACATGTTCTCAATCCTTCAGGATGAATACACTAACCTGTAGGTAAGGAAAACAAAGACTTGTTTCTAGTTAAAACAAAATTTAAAAAATCTTTAAGGAGTTTAAAATACAGAAAACTCAATATAAATATTTTTATTAATACTATTTTGAGAAAATATCACTACTCAAAAAATTTTCCTAAAGGGTTAGCCACGTATATAATAGTTTGACTCTTCACACTTCATCCAATGTCTACTTTAAACCCATATATATTGTATACATTCTCAGTTTATGCACAAAGAGTTCATTCTGACACCCCCAAATAATCCAAGCCTTAAAGATTCCCTACAACCTTCAGAATAAAATTCAGACTATGTATTCTGGCCTTCAAGGCCCACCACAATCTAGCCCTAACCTGGTCTGCTTTCTGTAGTCTCTATCTATTCCCACTACTTCTATCTATGCATTTGCCATTCCAACTAACTAAATCCGTACCTATTTCCTAAGCCTTGCCCATCACCATGGTGCTGGCAATGCTGCACCTTCCCTTCTCCTGGAACATCCTCCACCTTCCCATTCACCTCATTAAATCATACCAGCTGTTAATATCAACTCAGGTTCCACTTCTCAAATAAACATAACTAGATAGTTCAGCTCAAAGTGACATCCTCTAAACTACCAGAATGTTAGTAGTGACTCTCATGCACATAAAAACTAGCTGAACCTACATGGATACATCATCTTTCTTTTTCTTTTCTCATTCTCTAAAAGCTGTTTTGCTTATTTAATTGTTTATCCTATCATAAGCGATTTTAAAATGTTGATAGAAAGCAGATGACGCAGGCCGGGGGCAGTGGCTAACACCTGTAATCCCAGAACTTTGGGAGGCTGAGGCAGGCATATTACCTGAGGTCAGGAGTTGGAGACCAGCCTGGCTAACATGGTGAAACCCTGTCTCTACTAAAATACAGCAATTAGCCGGGTGTGGAGGTGCACGCCTGTAATCCCAGCTACTCGGGAGGCTGAGGCAGGAGAATCACTTGAACCTGGGAGACAGAGGTTGCAGTGAGCCAAGATCCAGTGCTTTGGCAACAGAGAAAGACTCACACAAAATTAAAAAAAAAAAAAAAATTAAAAACCAAGCAGTGATGCTGCTACTTTATAGTATGAGAGGCTCTTCTGAATACCCATCAACTTCAGAGTATTTGGATTTGAGGTTGGCAGGGCAGTTGATAATTTCATTCACAGATGAAGAAGCTTGAGGTTCAGAGACATTAGTTATCTCACCCAAGATCACCAAACCAGTTAATTGCGGAGTCATGATTAGATCCCAGGTCTATAGTACAAGAATGCTTACCACTTCATCACAGGGTCTCATTAGCATATGCACAAAAACATAAATTCATTTCATCTTTATGCTGGCTCACGCATGTGCAGGCACACACATACAGAGTTAAAACTTGAATACTCTCATGATAATGGCATCACTGCAACCACGGTGGAATCAGCGACAATAGACAATTAGATGCGGTTTCAGGGTAATTTTTTTGATCCCAGTTTGAAATTTTTTTTTCTTAAAAAAATGTATTCACCTGCCATGTAACAACTGTATCAAAGGGATATAATTGCTGTAACATAGCAAAGAACTGTGGCTTACATTTAATTTGTTTGAATTATTTGAAATGAGCAATCATCCCCCAGATGCTGGCATCAGGAATACGATATAGTAGCTACCTGGTGGCTATCTGGTGCAGCACCGTTTCCATTCAATTCATAACCATCCACCTCCTGGGTGTCACTCTTCAGTTATCTACCTGATATATCATTGGGCTGTTTACCCCAGGCTGATCTAAAACTGATACAAGTATACATTCCTAACTTGAATCACTTAGCAATAGCATACTTCTCTATTAAATCACCCAGCCAAAAATGTTTCCTCTTGAGTAGTAAAAATAATAGCAGCAACAATTTTTACATTATTCAAAAAACTGAGGCTCTAGCCTTTGCTTACAAAGAAGTGAATGAGCTGAAATCCTCTAAAAATGGCTTTCTCACTTTTAGCCTCTTAATTAGAAAGTTATCGTTAAAAATAAATTCTAGTTCTAAGAATCTGACCATCATTTGTTCAAAACCAGCATATCACAGAATTAGCAAAAAATCATTTGGTTTGTCTTCTTTACCTTCACAACTTGAGGCAACAGCAGCAGATTTTTAGCATATGGAAATATTCCAGGTTTTTCCCTCCAGTTCCCCTTGTGGAGAGGCACGCCACAAAATGGAACAGAGGGCAGAAGTGAGTGTCTTGCTCTAGCTCTGCTGCCCACTTGTCTTTGCACCTATGAAATGAACATATACTCCCAACTCTCAGGTCCCCTGCAGCTCTAAAACACAATTCTCTGATATAATCTGCAAAGTAAGTTTGAGACCCTGTAAAACTATGACATTGAAGAGTTTACAAAAAAGGTTCCAAATTTTATTTGTTTTTGAGATGGAATCTCGCTCTGTCACCCAGGCTGGAGTGCAGTGGCGCAATCTCCTCTCCCTGCAACCGCCGCCTACCAGGTTCAAGCGATTCTTCTGCTTCAGCCTCCCAAGTAGCTGGCACTGTAGGCACACTCTACCATGCCCGGCTAATTTTTAGCAGAGACAGGGTTTCACCATATTGGCCAGGCTAGTCTCGAAATCTTGACCTCGTGATCCACCTGCCTCGGCCTCCCAAAGTGCTGGGATTACAGGCATGAGCCACCTCACCAGGCTCGGTTTCAAATTTTAAAATTGCATGTTTGTTTTCTTACTATGCATTTCCCTAATTCTACTCTTAAAATGTATTATTTTTTGTTTGTTTTTTCCTATATATTTCAAACTATAAAATCAGCTTAAAAACCAAGGGCTCCCCAATGATTTGCTACTGACCAGGAGATCAGGCCCAGTCTCTACAATGACCTCTCCTGCACTAAAGCAAAAGCGAGGTGCTTACTTAAGGCCAGCTACTTATTCAATCCCGGGGCCAACCTTTCTCAGCTGGAACTTAACCAGCCCCAGTACTCACAAAGCCCAGCTCACATTCACTGCATGTCTTCACTTACAGATATAAATGCCTGCACACACATGCCCTTTACTTACATTGTGACCATTATGTGGAGCCACTTTATGGATGTAACTGCATTTTGATGTTTTATTTTTTAAGACAGGGTCTCACTGTTGCCCAAGGTGGAGCGCAGTAGCATGATCATAACACTGCAGCCTTGACCTCCTGGGCTCAAGCAATCCTCGCTCCTTAGCGTCCCAAGTAGCTGGGACTACAGGCACACACCACCACATCCGACTAATTATGTTCTTTCCGATACTTCAATATCTGCTTATCTGCTAAGCAGAATATGACACATTCTGCTTATAATAAATAATGTGATATAAATCTTACAATCGATTCATTTCCCCAGCCTCAAAATTTAGTTCTACAAAAATATTAGACTAATACATGAAGCAACTTTATGAACATAATTTATTTTGTTAGACTTGATAGGATTGCCGGATTTTCAAACTAGAGTTTCCGCATCAAGAAACTGAAGACGAAAACATTAAGTGCAGTCCTTTTCTTGCTAATTGTAAGAATTCTAGATAAATCACTTCTGCAATATATTTTTTAAAAATTCATCACAGATTTTCAAACACTGTTACTGCTAAAGCACAGTAATAAACAGTTTAGAGCTTGGTGGCTCACGCCTGTAATCCCAGCACTTTGGGAGGCCGAGGCGGTCAGATCATGGGGTCAAGAGCCGAGGCGGTCAGATCATGGGGTCAAGAGTTCAAGATCAGCCTGGCCAACATGGTGAAACCCCGTCTCTACTAAAAATACAAAAATTAGCCGGGCGTGGTGGCGGGCGCCTGTAATCCCAGCTACTCGGGAGGCTGAGGGAGGAGAACTGTTTGAACCCAGGAGGCAGAGGTTGCAGTGAGCCGAGAGCACGCCACTGCATTCCAGCCTGGGTGACAGAGCGAGACTCCAACTGAAAAAAAAAAAAGAAAAAAGAAATAAAAGAGCTTAGTTTCAGCTAAGTGAAAACTTCAATTTATCAGTTTTCTAAGTAATGGCACTGTTTAAAATTAAAAGACACACCTGTGTTTAAAAACATAGCTATTTGTGTTAAATGACAATCAGCCACATATGATTATACTCAGCTTTCTTTTAAACTAAAATCACTCAATCAAATACAGTCGTTATCCTGAACACACCAAAGCAGCACTTAGGGACAAGAAATCATTCCTATCTATTGTGCCCTGCATGGAGTACAAGAACTATATATGTGGGGACTTTTAAAAGGGTAACTAACGGGGTGGGGAGTTTACCTATATAATTCCATAAATGCCAAAATTTTCCAAGAGCTGAGATGAGCACTGGTAGTTTTTCTCTGCTTATGAATTGATACCCTTTGGTATAAGGACTGACAAGAAACTATACTATTTAAGTAAAGCAATTTTATCTTCCTAAATCTCCTTCCCAACAATGACAGTAAAGTAAAATTAAGCACCTTGGCAGCAAGTACTACAAATAACATGACATGTTTTTAAGTTGTTTTTAAGAAAACATATAAGTGCCTTTTCCTCTAAGGGCACAAAACTATCAACAATCACACAACTGCTTCATTTCTTAAAATTATTAGACAATATTTCTAATGTCACTTTCAGATTTTCATTTTTTTTTAAACCATGTGCACATACCCTATCTTTGAGAAACTAGAAATCAAAAAAGGAGGTAAGATGTCAACATGTTTAATTCAACAAACATCTGAGAAGTGTATGCCAGGCTCTAAGGTAGGCACCTTCAAGAAAGTAATTTTAAGAGGGCAGACAGGTAATAATATTCCAATGCTAACTATAATGATCACTCCATAGAAGGTAGTACCTAACACAGACTGGGGTTATAAACAAATTTCTTAACAGTCCCACTAAGATAACAAACTATATTCACCATAAAAGTTTATTGTTAGTTGTGATTTTCTGTTAAGTAAAAAATATAACTGTAAAACACGAAATAATCTAGCTATTGTGGGCCCAAAACTTTTTTAAAGGGGTATAAATATTCCCTAAAAGTTATCATTAAGGGTAAACAACACATTATTGCACTTAAAATTCACATTAAGCTGTCTTAATGTCAAACACAGGAGGGACTGGAGAAAAAAATGAAGTCCCGTTGATCATGTAAATAAAAAGCTGGTATATATCTGTGTGACCTCCTAACATAGGCCCACTCACCACTCCCCATCCCTTGGCCTTAAAATAGAACCTTGGATATGTTCATAACAGCTGACATACCAATAGCAGAAAGTTGCTCAGTGGGCTGCCTTTTAAGTTATCAACAAACAAAAACCAACAATGTCACAGCATTTTCCATCTCCAACAGAGAAGGGCAAGTTTTGCTTACAACTGCAACATCAAACAAATAAATCAAACAAATGTATTAGCTACACCGAATTTCTCAAGTAAATTAAACTGTAGTTCCAGTTTATAAAAAGTTGCTCCTATGATCACACTGGTGTAATTCCCTTGATATAAAAACCAAACCAAACCATAAAAAAAAAAAAGGAAAGAAAAAAACCACCAAAAAAAAAAAAAAAAAAGAAAAGAAAAGAAAAGCCCTTACATGTCTAAGTATATTGGCCTCAAAAAAAGAATCTGAATCATGCTTCGGTGAAGGCCAGGTCAAAGCATGAGGGTTTTATTATACTTCACTTCTTTCATCACAGAAATCTATTTCCCTGAAAAAGGAAACCAAAAACCATTTGCTCTTATGGGAAACTGACCAATTTCAATCAGCTCCAGGACAGCGACAGTGACTAGTGAAGCATTAACAGAAATATAATGTGCATAAAGCATTTAAGAAGTCAAATTAACTTGATTTAACTTGACATTCTCAGTCATTTAAGAAAAAGTGTTCATCCCAAAATACACTCGTAAATGTGACTAGCAAAGAGACCTATTTCTATCAACTCAACTGTGTTACAGTCGGATACAACTTTTACTACAAAACATGTAAACTGGATACAGTTTCCAAAGGAATCACGTTCCACCTACAGGGGAATTTAGCTTTAAAAGTACAGAATGAATGTTTAATAAATGCCCCATAATGATACAACTGATCTTTTCCGTGACTGCCAATATATAGCTGCTGACACCTCCTGGGTGAGAAAAGATAATGGAAAGAAGTGATTATAAATAGTAGCTTCCTTCTTGCTACAACTAATTCAAGGACTGTGTACAAAAGCAATATCTTAGTTTCTAAAGAACAGATTATTTCACCTTAAAATCTGTTTGTTACAGATGATGATTACTGACAACAGTAATTGCTTCTTCAGACAAAAAGAAAACCTTTTTGTAAGAAATCTGTATAGCAAGAGTCCTCTCAATACCAACCACCATATAATTCTTAAGTCAAGGCTTTTGTAAATGAATTCTCAGGAAAAAAAAAAATTATGGTAAGAAAACCTTATGATACATCCAATAACAGAGGCAGAAGAAGTGAAAATAAACATTAACATGAAAAAATAGCAACTATTTAAGCAAGTTTTAACGAAATATTTTTACTCATATATTTAAAGGAGAGGGAGCAGGCAGGGTATAAACTAAACTGAGGTCAGACAGAAAGTTTACTGTAAACACAAAAAGACCATCAGAAAATGAAAATATATTTTCAAATCAGTAATACGGCATTCTAATCCATCTGCTCTCTTTTTCTGAGCCACACACTAATTTTTCTGATATCCACGATAAAAAGATTGACTGTTCTTCCTCATTACACATTTTTTATTTCCCTATCAGCAGCTTTAAGCCCACCTCCACCTAAAAAATTGAAAACTCAAAATCAGCTTTTAAAATACTAGTTCTCCATTTTCCCCTAATACAGGATTGTTAAGTCTAATAGACCGTACTCTTCACCTTCTCGATTCTAAATTACAAAACTTTATTATAACAATTTGCATTCAACTACTGTTGTTTCATTCTCATGACAAGAAAAGTCTGTTTTTTTAAAAACCATATATTAACTGCTCTAAGGGTTCAGTTGAAAACGTCTCTCTAAAGGTAGAGCAGTTTAAGACCTAGGTTTTATGTGTAATCCTATAATCATCTCTATCTTCAATAAAAGGTTTCAAACTCAAGTTTATGTCCTTTATATTTTATGATGGGCCCAACCTAAAATGTATTCACAACTTTAAAAAACAACCGTGTTGAAGATACTTCAGTGGAAGAGCTGGCACACACACCCCCACCACCAGCAACAGCAAAAAACAAAACAAAACAAAAACAAGCAGTAAAACAAAAGGACTGTCCACAGTCAAGATACAGACTAAAGGTTAACTTGGCAAGGAATTAAAATACTCATTCTAAAACATCCAAGTCTTCATCAACTGGGAAAACCAGCACACTTAATCCTCAAATTTGTAACTAGCCAAATGGAAATTCTTAGGCTGACAAGCATATTTTTAAAAAGCTTATTCTTTGAAAAATATTTTAAAATAAAAAATTTAAAATCTCATTTAAAATTCCTAATTATCAGAAAATACATCTACTCTAAGCACGATGTTAACTTCATCAAACCAATCACTAAAGTAAAATTTTTACTAAATTTTATCTAAATTTAAAAGTAATTTTTCAGCCAAGCATTATAGGCAAAAAAAAAAAAGTAATGCCTAACCAGAAACAAAAGTCATGATCAATTTGTTTTGGACAATGACAAACCACAAAGGGGTAAAGCACAAGATGCCAAATTTCACAATTAAATCATCCAGAAAAAAAAATGTGATGGACTTCAGAAACCAATATTTTTCTTAAGTCAAATTAAGTTTATAACAAGGCTAACAATTACAGGAAGCCGCTTATTCCACACTAAGGAATAGCCCTTTTTCCTGCATGTTTGTACTGGTCTGATAAAAAACAATCAAACTTCCTCGTCATTATATTGCCCATTTTAAACATACTATATGCCACACAGAAGCAATCTTTACACTGGGGAATTGACAAGGCTAAAACTAAAGATAGCAAGACAAGAGATGGAGTAAACCACATTAAAAGGGGAAGGGGAAACAAACATTATCTAGGAGATATCATAGTGGTCTCTTACATTTAAAACGCAAACGAGTACTATTTCCAACCAGAGAGAAATAAGCCTTTGTCAGAGACAATGACATAATTGAAATTTCTGGATTTGAAAGATTAAAAATTATTAAAGCCTAAGGTTGGAAACTTGATAACAAGGAATCAGCTCTAAATTTAGAGATTTTAGATCAACATAAAAGCACAAGAAGCCTTTTAAAACTAAAGAACGCAAAAGTATGCAGCTTTTTAAATAGTATACATAAGGTGAAAGTATTTTCAAACTTTTTTTTGGAATCTCCTATAGTCTTTGAATTCGACATTTCAGGAATGCAATTTAATTTTAATTAACCCTAAATATTGCCAAGGCCTATTTTCATTTTATCGTCGATAAAGGATTCCTTCTAAACAACTGCACTCAAGAAAACAAACTTTCACCAGAAATTGTTACTAATACTACTAAAACTTTAACTTAACCAAAATATGCCAAGGAGAAGACAGTAAGAGTGTTATTTTGAAACGTCATAAAGTTGTGCCAATAATTTTAAGGAAAGTATTTTCAATGTTCGAAAACACTATATAAACACATTATGACAAATCAAATAATCTATAACTTAAGTTTCAACTAAATTTAATATAGGTCAGTCAGATTGAGTATGTTACACATTTTGTTCCAACCATTTCCATGGTTAAAAAATAACTGGCGCCCCTTAGCGCTCACATTTGGAAATACTCAATTTAAGAGTTCCAGCATTTTTTTTTTTTTTTTGACATTCCAGAAAGTTTTCTGCCTCCACAATCTTTCAAATGCCAACACAAATAGGAAAAGCAGAACCCCTTAAAGGGACAGCTCAGGTTTTCTCTGGAGCAACTTGAAATTAACAGATTTGCTGTTCCAACAGCGGAAAATGCCCATTTCAACGTTGGTGAGTGCTGTATGTTTAACATACGGAAGCAAAACGACGAGAAAGCCGTAACACCTAACCATTTTCTACTTTTAAGTTGTTTCTATGACTTTCAAGACAACAGAACTCCTGGGATTTTTCTTTAACCATTTTTTATCATGGAAACATTTCCGGCCTTTTGTTCTCTAGTGACATTCCAACTCCCCAAGCTTCAAACTCCTGTTCCCCGACTCTATTTTTAAAATCTCGAAATTCTTGCGAAAAATCTAAACTCCATTGTTCATCTCTTCAACCTGTAGTTTTCAGTTTCCTTTACACAGTCCTCCGGTGGTGCCTCTAAGCAGGAAAAAAAAACAAACAAACTCCTGGCCAGTCGATTTTCGAAACAGACTTTTTTTGTGGTCTTTTTTTTCTCTAGGCGTCCACAGAAACCCACAGCTACTAGAAATTAATACTTCAGGTACTGCTATGAGAACTTCTTAAGGAAATTCCAAAGTTGGTCAACATTAATCTTCTTGTCATTCTTCACTCCCCACAGCGCTCCATACAGCTTTTTGGAAACTTTGGCTCAATTTTATTTCGCCCTTTCCAAACGTCTCGAAACCCTGTCCTACAAACTCAGGCGGCTGCGTCCCCGGGAGCAAACCCTCCGCCCAAGTTCTTCTAACTCAGGCTGCGCTCCGATCTGTCATCGCGTTATTTCGCACTCCACCCCCCCCCCCCCCACCCCCGAAAAGTGAAGTTCAACTCCCTAACAGTTCTCGCTTCCCCAAACAAAAGGGAAAAAAGTGCTTTTCGCCGTCACTTAGTCCTCCTTGTCGGCTACGCCAGCATAATTTCGGTCTCCTACGGAATTTCTTTAAACTAACGAGCCCCACACTGACTTCCACTTAGTATTGAACAGCTGCACCAACTCCCCAACCACGAAACCCCGCTTTAGTCCTCACGGGAGGGGAGAGCTCCCGAACGCGGGGCGGTGGGGGTCCGCGCAGAGCAGGCTCGGGAGGCCGAGCGGAGGAGCGGGGCCCGCGCCGGGCACACGCGTCCTCCAGGCCGGCGGCGCGGCGTGGGCCTGCTCTCGGGAGGGCTCGGCGAGGACCACCGAGTCCGCGCAGCCCCCGCCGACCTCTCGGAAATGTGACCGCCGAAGCTAGAGGGGCCGCAGGGCTCACCCCGCAGCCCTCCGCAACGCGCCAACTTGGACGCCAGCGGCGCGGGGTCCCGGCCGGGCAGGGGGCGTCCGGCACCGGCGGGTCCACCCCGGCCCGCCCGCCCGCCGCAAGCCCGGCCCGGCACCTCCTTTGTGCGCCCTCCTGGCCTCCCAGTCCCCCCGGCGCTCGGTCCCGCCCGGCCGTGACCTTCCCGCCCTCCCCACCATCCCAAGCGGGGAAAGGGGCCGCCCCGGCGGGGGTCGGGCCGGGGCCGGGGCCCTGGAGACGCTCACCTTCGTCCAGCAGCCGCTCGAGGTGGTTGAAGATCCCGCAGAAGTTGGGCAGGCTGCTCATGAGCTTCTTGTCGTTCATCAGCTGCATCAGGTAATCTGGGGTGGGCTTCGGCTTCTCCTTCGTTTCCATTTCCCCGACCATATTCCAGGCTCCGCAGCTCACTCCGCCCGCCGCCGCCGCCGCCGCCGCCGGAGAGGAGGGAGGGGCGGGGGCGAGCCCCGGCCGCGGGCCGCTCGGGACCCGGCGTCCCGCTCCGCGCCGGCTCCCGCTCTGGCTCCCGCGCCGAGCCCCGGGGCGGCCGGCACCGCGCGCTCGCCCGCCCCCCGCAGGCACTTTCCGCCCGGGCCCGACGCGCTCCCAGCCGCCGCCGCTCTCGGCCGCCCGGCTCGGCGCGTCCCTCACGAGGCCGGCGGGCGGGCGGGAGGCGGGTCTCGGCTGGCCGAGTGCGGGCGCGGGGCGCGGGCTGCTGGCGCCGGACGAGGAGGAGCCGGGGCCGCCGCTCGCTCGGCTGGTCGAGCCCGCTCAGCGCCGCCGCCGCCTGTGCCGCGGGCTCGGGGGGTCTCTCTGGGCTGGTCCCCGCCGCGGCGCCTCTGCCGCTGCCGCCGCGCTCCGACTGCGCTCCTCCTCTTCCTCCTCCTCCTTCTCCTCCTCCTCCTCCTCACTCACTTGGCGGCGGAGTTCGCCTCAGTTCAGGCGGCGCTGCCAGCGGCGGCGGCAGCAGCGGCGGCGGCGGGGGGAGGGGCAGCGGCGCGGGGAGGGCCGGGGGCGGGCGGCGGGCGGGGCCGCGCAGGGCGGCCGTTAGCGGGTCCCGGCCGGCGCGCTCCCGCTGCCTGCTGCCCGCCGCCCCGCGACCGGGGCAGCCGCCGGCGCCGCGCCCCCTCCTCCCTGCCTCCCCGGCGGGGCGGGCGACGGGGGCAACGGGAGTGTGACGGACTGCGGCGCTCGGCGGGCCTGGGCGCAAGGACTGGGTCGCCGCCGTGCGGGGCGCCCGGGGCGGGTGGGTGTGGGCTGCGGGGCCGACGGCCGCGGGGGGGGCGCGGGGCTTTCCACGGCACGGGGCGGGTGGGGCTGCGGGCGCGGTCGGGGCTGGCGCGGCAGGCGAGAGGAATTCCAGCGGGACGCGCCAGCGCTGCCTCCGCCTCGCCTCCCGTTACTATAGTTTTTTCAGAACCTCTTATCCACCCCGCAGAAGAGAAATTTTTTTTTAACGTCCTGTTGCTTCACGGGGGACTTTCGGGGTGGGCATCACGTGGCCCGACACGTAGCCGTGGGGCTCCAGAGCGCGTGCGCGCGTCGAGCCCGGTCGCCACGCCCCTTCCGAGGGTCGCTCCGCCCCCGTCGGGCCCCGCGAGCGCGCGGTGGGGGAGGGGAGGGCCCCGGAGCGCGCCTGCGTGGGGCGGGGGCGGCAGCCGACTAGGGGCTGGGTCTGGCCGTTTAGGGCCGGGTCTTGGCCCGTCGCCCACGGTGCGGAGGGCTGGTGGGCTTTCCTTGGCCGTCGGGCCCGCCACGGCGCGGGTCTTGGCTGCGGGGCGGAGGTGGGGCGGGAGAGCCGAGGATAAGAGTTTGAGGCTTTTCGAGGCGCGTGCCGCGGCGTCCGCCTCTGCGGGACTCTGCGCCGGGCGCCCTCGGCCGGCGCGCCCGGCTCCCGCTTTGTCGCCGAGGGAAGCACGCGCGACGCCCCTCCCGTCGCCGCCGTGGCTTCTTTCGGTGTTCGTGATTTGCTGAGAGGCTGGAAAGCAGCACGGCGGAGAGGAGCCTTGCACTCGCCAGGCGGGAAGCCTGCGCGGACACGCGTGCGCACCCACGGGGCGGCGGGCGGGCGTGGGGGGTCCGGGCCACGCGGGCGACGCGCCTCTAGGGAAGCGATCTTGTTGCACCTTCCCGTTATTCTGAAAGCAAATCGTAGCCAGACCCGAGCGCAGCGGCTTAGCAAATAATAAGGGGAGCGTCAGTCGTGCTCGAAATGCTTCCTTCGCGATGGCGTCAGTGTTCCGTGAGGGAATGAAGCCGCAGTAGGAAATAAAGAGGCTGTGCGCGTAGTCTGAAAAGCAGAAGTCAACATTTTTACAGATGAAGAAAGAATACGGAGGCAAGAGGTCTTTCTCTGCAGTTTGGTGGATTTCCAACATTTAGACTTGTTTGGAAGAATTTCCTCAGCTGCACCAATGAAGTCCTTGATCTATAGAAGTCGGCAGTCCCTAAATCTACGTCTGCATTTTGTTGCAAATCCTTTATAACATTCCATTAAAATAATGCAGAGTTATTTAATATCCAGTTGGCCATCGTGAGAGTAATTCGCGGCTGAGATTTTGTTAATCATTCTGTCTTCTGACTTAACAGTGAACGTAGGTGATTTTTTTTGTAAAATGTTGCTTCACATGAATTGTGAGAATCACCTCTAAGTTTGAATTGTACTGAAGGCACTATAAGAATTTCAAATGAACGCTGAGTAGCCAGTAGCCTTCTGGCCTTTTCGTTTAACAAGCACAGAGTTCGTTTTTAAAATTAAGTTACTTTGACAGAGGAAATGTAATAGCCTTGGTAGACAACATTAAAAATGTAACTGTCAGATGTTTTAAAGTCTCCAACAGCCGTATCTGTTTTAGAGCCATAGAATATTTACTTACTGAATTGCCTGTTTAAAGATGAACTTTCTAAATGCAGGGAATAGTAACTTGCAAAAAAGCTATGGTCTCTAAGTAATGAAGGCTGTTTCAGTACCTAGAAAAATCAAAATCAAGGTTTTGATGCTGCTAGTGTAAAAGATGCAATCCCCTTCTTAATGGCCTGCTTATTTATTAAGCTCCTAGGCACTATGCTGAATGCCCTACATGCATATCTCGTTTAATCATCAGTACAACTTGGGCTTAGGTTAGACTGTTATCCCCATTTTACAAATAAGGGGAAACCCAAGAAAGATGAAGTTAAGTAACTTGCCCAAGAATATAGCTAGTGAGTCCTGTGTCTGGGATTATAATCCAATTATATTTTATTCTAAAGCTTTTTTTTTTTTTTTTGCTTTTTTTCCTTGCCCTATCCTTTAAATCAGGTTGAATTTTATGACAATATTCCACCATTTTTGACCCATAGAAATGGCAGTGTCATAAGGCTCAACCACTTAAACCAGATTAAAGAACAATGATAGGCAATTTTCATTTCCTATGTATTAAATCACTTACGGTTACAGCATTTGATAATAGCTACTGTGTGTTAATTTTCTTTTTTTTGAAACAGAATTTCGCTCTTGTCACCCAGGCTGGAGTGCAATGGCGCGATCTCGGCTCACTGCAACCTCTGCCTCCCCGGTTCAAGTGATTCTCCTGCCCCAGCCTCCCGAGCAGCTGGGATTACAGGCATGCGCCACCACGCCTAGCTAATTTTGTATTTTTAGTAGAGACGGGGGTTTCTCCATGTTGGTCAGGCTGGTCTCGAACTCCCGACCTCAGGTGATCCGCCCCCCTCAACCTCCCAAAGTGCTGGGATTACAGGCGTGAGCCACGTGCCTGGCAGGTTACCTTTTCAAATCTATGTAGATCACCTCATTTCCTGACAGTCCCTCAATGGTTTCTTATCTCAAAAAAAAAAAAAAAAAAAAGGAAAGAAAGAAAAAATCCGAAGAGCTTACCAAGTCCTGCAAGACGACAGGTGTGCCCCTGGTGCATCACTGACCTTATGTCCTTCTCCTCCCACAGCCCACTTGGCTGCACCCCCGTGGAATCCGTCTGGATCCTTAAATATTCCAAGCATGCTTACCCTCCCCAGGACTCTGCCCTTGGTGTTTGCTCTCCTCGGAAAGCTTTTCCCCATACATCGGCGACCCCTGCCCCTATTTATCTTTAGAAGGTGTCCCTTAACACCCTATGTAAAATGGCGCCTTTGTGCACGCAAACACTTCCTCCCTTCTTCCATCTGCTTACCCCAGGTTCTTTTCATACCATTTGTTTCCACGTAACAATGGGTCAACTCGTTTGCCACTGGCATCAACATTGTAAGCTCCATGAGAAAAAGGAGTTTCTTCTATTAGGAATTTCCAACACCTAGATCAGCATATGGTACACGTAGGCACTTATTAAATATATGTCCAAAAGAAGTATTAAGTACTTGTTATGGACCAGAAGCTCTGCAAAACCCTTATCTTCATTGTTTATTTTCATCCTTACAGCCAATATTTGAGGTAGGCAGGAAGAGCCATATTTCAGAGATGAGAGGGCTGATGCTTAGGAGGAGTAAGTAGCTGCAGAGGGTCGGGTGCGGTGTTTGTGCCAGTAATCCCAGCATTTTGGGAGGCCAAGACAGGTGGATCACTTGAGCCCGGGATTTTGAAACCAGTCTAGGCAACATAGTGAGACCCTATCTCTCTAGAAAATACAAAAATTAACAGAGTCTGGTGTCACATACCTGTAGACCCAGCTACTTGGGAGATTGAGGTGGGAGGATCAGGGAGGCAGAGGTTGCAGTGAGCTGTGATCACACCATTGCACTCCAGCCTGGGCAACAGAGCAAGATCCCGTCTCAAAAAAAAAAATGTAGAAAGACTAACTTTGTAATAATTACATTATTACAAAAATGTTATCTTAATACAGTATTGAAAATAAATTACAACATGTAGTGAGTATATATACAGAATGAGCCTCCAGTTGAAGATCCCTATAATAGGTTTTTTCACTGTGAAAAATTGTCATCTAATATGTTGACACTAAAAATGGTTCCACATTCTAACATCAGTAATTAACCAGGCGTGGAAACATATTTTCTATTCTGTTAAATTTGATTGGCTCTATTTGCTTATTGCTATTCTTAACATTTAAAATAGAAATTTGCAGTATTCCAAACCTTTCTTTATCACCATAGAGTTCTCGAAAGAACTATAATGTTCCTTGGATATAAGATTTAGGGTTTTATGGCTTTTTGTCCCAGTGTTCTTTTTAAAAATCTTAGTCTTTAGATTTTCCTAAAAGGAATTGGGGCATTCTTGGTATCTTCGCAAAATAATTGTTTATTGTCTTAATAGATTTGAGCATCCTTTTAAATTACGAGATGGCGCTTTTTTTTTTTTTTTTTACTTTTTAAAATTTTTTTTACTTTTAAATTGTGAGATGGCTTATCAGGTACTATTTAAAAGATTGAAAATGAAACATTTCAAATGTGAATATCTTAAATATTTCCAGTACCTGTTATATGTAAATGCATATCATTAACCCTAAGGCATTTACAGGCTGAGCTGGGAGTTAATAGCATGTGCAGGTACATTTAAAAAGTTAACTAATAACTGCCACGTAAAGGCTAAAGACAAAAATGCTGTGAAAATACCGGTGAGCACCAACATTGCCTGCCCGGAAGCCATTGTAAGACCACACCGGGGAGGTGGATTTGATCTCGAGGCGGAGCAAAGAGTGTTGGGAGACAGCAATGACAGAACTTGGGAAGTGGAAAAGTACGAGGTGTTAGGGTAGGAGTTTCCACAGAGAGTATTTGATGCCAGATTTTGGTTGGCCTTGAACATCAAACTAGAGTGTTTGTAGGGGAAGAGCCTTGGGATTTGTGTGTGTGTTGGGATGGGGAGTGGGCGGAGATGGCGGCGGGGGCGGGGGGCGGTCAGGGGGGAGGTGGTCTCCCTAGGTTGTTGCCCAGGCTGATCTCAAAAGGAATTTTTTTTTAATATAAAGAAATGAACAAATTAGATAGTAACATGGATTCCTCTCAGTGAACCTTATTTATATCTACTAGTACAAATACAACATTTGTAAAATGAAAGGCATTGCTCTTCACAGCTGTTCTAATGGTAACTGTGCTGCTTTTTTAAGCCACTGACATGATCATTCCAGATGTAGTACTAACATTTAGCTTAAACTACTGCACAACGGTTAAACGGTAACTGACAGTGTAAGGTTTCTACTCATTTGACCCTAAATGAAACTTTAGAGGTAAAAACATTCTCAGCCAGGATGCAGGTCCTTGTGCTATATAATCCAACCTTCATTCCATATTTAAACAGAAACCACCTAAAAAATAACTGTCTGTCAATCACAGGAAGGTGAGAGTGAGTTACAAATGCATTTTGTTTTGATCTACTCCCAGACTGATGCTTGGTTTTATGATTGCAAGACAATTTCACAGGTGCTCTCCTGGATTGGGTTGATTGTTATTTTATTTTATTTTTTTCCTTCAGATTTGGGACCCTTTAGGATGCATCTGTGATTAGATTTTTTTTAACATACTAAATGGATATGTTGGATTTATAGTCTATGAGTTAGTTTTAAAAGTTAATATGGGTGACCATTTTACCAACAAGGGGAATGACTATTCATGTCCCAGACATTTAATCAAATGCCATTATCCTTTACTAAAATTTAACTTAGAGCCTAAATGTACTTTTCCAGTAATTTCTGTATATTAATGCGTTCTTAACTGAGTTCCCAGTGAGACCAAGGAAAGACCAAAAAAAAGACTGACATTTATAGAGTCCCGATCAACCTTCGGGCACTTCAGTTACTGAGTATGCAGCAACTCTGAGTTAATAATTATCCTCATTTTACCGCTGAAGAAGCAGAGGCTGAGAGGGTTAACTACATAATGTGACTCATGTGGCAGCTACTGAATTCAGGACAGGATTCAAGGCAGACCTTCGGAGTCCTGAGTGATGGAAGGCACACTGTTGACCTTTCTGTAAGTTAAACTTGGGTACCTCAGGAGCTGTACTTTAATTAAAATACCTGTGGCGTTTGAGTCTCTTTTTTCCAGTATTCTAGCTGATGGTGTATAGAGAAAGGATTGCTGTGCTAGGTATAAAAAGCCTTATTCGTTCTATGCTAATAAGTTGTGTAGCACTGCATAAGTAACCCTGAATCCGAGTTGAACTAAGTGATCTCCAAAGTCATTCGAAGGTTTAAAATTCTGTGATTCTAAATAAAATATCCTCACTAAGATTAGCAAATTGACCTTGTTGTAATTTTATTTCTGCACCCAGGATAACCCTGTATGCAGATGGATGGTCATGTAATAGCAATAAGAAATTAATATAAAAACCTTTAGGTGTCCAATTTTGCACAACTTGTTGAAATAAGTAATAAATAAATAATATGGATATATATTATATATTATGTATATTATATATAATATATATAAAGAACTATAAATTCTTTGTGTGTGTGTGTGTGTATATATATATATATATATATATATACACACACACACACTAAGAATTTTTATTTCCCTTAGGCAACACATTTGGCTGAAAATGTTACATTTTTGTAATTTCCAAAGAATTAAAATCAAATCTTTCTTATTTTTTTAAACATACTACAACTTAATAGAAAGTGGAGCACTAAAAAATTTCATCTAGAGCTCTTGATGAAGAAACTTACTACAAGTAGAGCATAAAAATTCCTTAAAGGTAGAATTCAGGTCTTATTCCTCTTTCTGCTCTTAAAATGCTTTACAAGTAGTCTACTTTAAATAATTACTTCTTTGAATGAACAAAAGAAAAAAAGGAAAAAACACAGAGACATACTTGGACTCTAAGGAGAGGAAGCAGCCATGTAAGCTGCTCATAGCATCTGAAAATCCAAAAGATTTCTTTGCCTTCAATGACAGGTAGTGTTTGATGCTGTGTGTTCATATTTTGCAATGTAATTCAGTGATTCTTGCAAAGTATTTTGGAGTGTAAGCGATGTCTTACTCAGCAGGAAACAGCATTTGTGGCAACTAGGCCAGGGAATCCATAGTCCTCTGAATCTATAACAGGTTAGAAAATGAGCGCCTCTGGTTTTAACATTGAAGAGTTTGTATAGCAATGATATTTTATCAGAATTGTTCACTACTTATTCAGATATAAGATTAAAAGCAGGCAGGGCACAGTGGCTCATGCCTGTAATCCCAGCACTTTGGGAGGCTGAGTCAGGTAGGTCACTTGAGGTCAGGAGTTTGAGACCAGCCTGGCCAATATGGCGAAACCCCATCTCTACCAAAAAATACAAAAATTAGCCAGGTGTGGTGGCGTACGCCTATAATCCCAGCTACTAGGGAAGCTGAGGCACAAGAATGGCTTGAACCCAGGAGATGGAGGTTGCAGTGAGCTGAGCTCACACCACTGCACTCCAGCCTGGGCAACAGAGCAAGATCCTGTCTCAAAAAAAAAAAAAAAAAGATTAAAAGCAATTATTTGTAGCACTGAGATTCAAGCAGTACACACCAGTACAGCCTTTTCAGTTTTTAAATTTTGAAAGATTCCCACACCACTCAGTGAGCAGTCACTGCTCTGAGCCATACTACCCAGGCCCTCTTCCGGAGCCCCGGGACCCCCCTAACCCAGCAACCAAAGGCAAGATGCCTGGCACCCTGACCCCATCAGGGCTGGCAGACACTGATCATTTATGCCTGTGCTGGACCAACTGTTACAACTTTTTGATTATTACTTCTGTTTGTATGGGCTTCTTTGCATATTTAGAAAATTATTTTATTTCATATCTTTATGTCCATTAATCCTGGGCTTATGAGTTTTTACTAAATGTAATGAAAGTGGATAGTTTTTTGTCTAAGATACATGTAGGTTCTTTGGGTATATATCCAAATTTAGAAAGGTTTATACAAATGACATTTATCCAGTGGCAATGAAATACCAAAGGCTTCAGTTTTGCTTTCTATTTTCCATAAATAATATGTTAAAAAAACAGGTTGCTGCCAGAGATGAAAAGTGATTCATTCTCCTCCTTATGATAAACTCTGTATTTCACACAAAGAAATATCTCTGTTCTGTTCTTCCCCAGTCCTGTGTAGCCATTTGCGTTCCTTTGCTGAGCTGTACAAGTAATACTGATGATGCTAGCATTTATTATTTCCTAGTTATTCTGTCTAAGCCAATCTGTAAAATGTGTTACAGTTACATTTTATAGATCTTCAAGGACCACCAACTTGATTAACTGACATTAATGACACTGTATTTTTCTCAGTATCCATTGGTAGTGAGCATCCTTTTGAGTTGGAAAGAAAATGTGGCATAGTGAAATGAGCAGCTGTTTTTATTTAACAGTTTTAAAATGCGTGCCCTATATTGATAGTGTGAGCTGGGAATTAAGCAGCCGTGAGAAACTGAAAGCTAAAGCTGTGATCGACAGAGGGACGTGGCCCTGCTCCTGCCTCTGTCCTTTCTGTGTCCAGGTGAAGCTGTTAAAGGAGCAGAAAGAATGTGAGGGGATCAGGAACGCAAACTTAAATGTGAATCAGGAAGGAGAAGAAGGGCTTGCATGCGAGGAGTTCAAAGACAGTCTTGTAAACTCTCCCATCAGCTGACCTGCCAGCAGCGAGCCGCCTTCTCCTCCAGTTCCTCTCTGGGTGCCTGGCTGTTGGTGGCAGAGGCAGCAGGCCCTGCTCTGTGCCAGGTCCTTGACCTCTGTAGACCGACAGCCAGACTTGACCTTCTCCTCCCCCTCAGCTCACCAGATTTCAGCTTTTCAGTCAGTCCCATGCCTGATTTCATGAAGGCACACTGGCACTTCATCAGATGGCCCCAGCCAGGCCCTGCCTCTGTGTTTGGGAAGAGGGAGCAGACACAAGTCTCAGACTGTAAGTGGCAGGCTGGCCTGGCGTCAGGGCCACTCAGCACCCAGGCCGGTGCGGGAAGGAGGCCTTTCATCTCTAGGCTCAGACAACTGGTTTGGGGCCTTTTAATAAGTACTTCCTTCTGCACTGAAATATGAAATAATAATACCTTAGCCCCACAGCATAACTATGTGCCAAGACTATAGAAACGCTTCTCACAGATAATGCAGAGGAACGGTCCTGAAACAAGGACGGAAAGTCCTGAAACATTTTTCCTGAAGAATTTGCTGGTCCTCCGAGGCAGCTGCAGAGCAGGAGGATCCAGAAAAGTCACTGAAGAGGTCCCAGGTTCAAATCTCGACCCTGTCACTTGCTAAAAGCAACGTAAACTCTCTGCACCTCTCTTTTCTTGCCTGTAAGGTAAGGTGGTGCAGCATAAGGATGTTAGGATGGCATGGGTGCCTCACTGCATGCCTGGGACATGGTAAGCTTTCAATAAATAGCATCATTTTAAGAATTGAAAAGGAGGCCTGGATAGGGCTCCAGTTCGTACACACGTATTTTGGGATGTGTGCAATCTCTCTACGTTGAAATTTTCTCCACAAAGCTCAAAAGTATTCAGTCATCAGTTTTCTGCTGCTTCCTATTGCACAAACCGTTTCCTGTTCCCAGGACTGCTGACACTAGGACGTAAAGGGACAAACAGCCTGATGAAAAGGAGCCTCAGTCCTGGGCTGGCCCCATTGTCAGCAGCAACAACACTTGCTCTAAAGCTGGCCAGGGGTCGCCACCAAGACCCAGTGTTGAAAGCCACTGTGTCATTGCAGGACCAAGTGGAAAAGGAGAGGCTGCCTCCCTCCTGCGCCTGCCCTAGAAACAGTGGGCCTGGCAGTTAGTGGAGGGAGCTTAGGAGATCCCGTCTTCCGGAAGGTCCAGGAGCTCACCACGCCTGTTAGATTCCATGATGATATTCTAGCACAGAGAGTTGTGGGCTAACCCAGGGTTTAAACTGTGATGTCCAAGCAACTGTTGGGCTGCATTATGCCAGCTCAAGGGCTTTCTCCAATCCCTGCCCCGAGGTGGCCACCGCAGCAGTGTAGGAGAGTGAAGGAGCCAGAAGGGGGTCTGCCCCACCTGCCCACTCAGCAAACCATGCTTTTGGCTTACTTCACTAGATACTTGGAAAGCAATAGCAACAAGCTTTAATCAGATACCATGGGAAAACATAGCCCTTATTTTGAATCACCTAAAATCTGAAAGTGGAGAGACAAAAATATACGTACTTCACTAGTGGCTTCTGCAAGTTTGTTTTACTAGATCATGCAGGAAGCAGCTAGACAGCAGTGGCTCCTTCTACCTTCCCTGCACGTGCCTTGAAATCAGCTTCATCTCTCCTGGTAACCCCCTAGAAATTTCGCTTCAACGAGATTAGGTCCTTAAAATTATGACTTCTGCACCTCCTAGTCTTGTCACCACCTCCCAGCCCTGGGCCACACCTGTAGCCTCCAGAAAACTTACCAATGGAGTCAGGACTTTCTCTCAGTGGTTTTCAAGGTAACAAAGTGGCTTTCAGAGCCTCATCTCCAAATGAAGGCCAGGACACACACAATTAAATCAAGGTAGTTGAAAGGAAAAAGCTTTCAAATAAACCTTTCTGGGATTCAATTATGAGTC